>NC_000006.12:124767759-125070790 GCF_000001405.40 Homo sapiens | reverse complement strand
TATATGTGTTTCCTTCAATGACTTTTGATACCTGGAAGAATTAATTAGAAACAAAAGTTACAAGGAAAGCTTTAAAAAAATTTCCTGAAACTCAAACAAATCCCATAAAAAAGTGGACAAAGGACATGAATAGACATTTCTCAAAAGAAGAGATACCAACAGTCAACAAACATATGAAAAAATGCTCAGCATCACTAATTATCAGGGAAATGCAAATTAAAAACACAATGAGATACCACCTTACTCCTACAAGAATGGCCATAATTAAAAAGTCAAAAAACAATAGATGTTGGTGTGAATGTGGTGAAAAGAAAACACTTTTATGTTTGTGGAACTGCAAGTTAGTACAATCACTATGGAAAACAGATTCCTTGAAGAACTAAAAGTAAAGCTATCATTTGATCCAGCAATCCTGCTGCTGAATATCTATCCAAAAGGACAGACATCATTATATGAAAAATACATGTGCACGCACATGTTTATAGCAGCACAATTCACAACTGCAAAGATGTGGAACCAATCTAAGTACCCAACAATCAATGAGTGGATAAAGAAAACATGCTATATATACACCATGGAATACTACTGAAGAGCATAAAAGAAATGAAATAATGTCTTTTGCAGAAACTTGGATGGAGCTGGAGGCCATTACTCTAAGTGAAGTAACTCAGGAATGGAAAACCAAATGTTGTATGGTCTCAATTATAAGTGGGAGCTAAGCTATGGGGATGCAAAGGTATAAAGATGATCTCATGAAGTTTGGGGACTAGGAATAGGAGGTAAGAGTGGGAAAGGGATGAGGCATAATGTAATGGGTACAGTGTACACTGCTCGGATAATGGGTGCACTATAATCTCAGAAATCACCACTAAAGAATTTACCCATGTAACCAAAAACCAACGGTACCCCAAAAACTATTGAAATAAAAAAAATCCCCTGAGATTTCACACCAGTCAGAATGGGTATTATTAAAAAGTCAAAAAACAACAGATGCTGGTGAGGCTGCAAAGAAAAGGGAATGCTTATACACTATTGCTGGGAATGTGGATTAGTTCAATCACTGTGGAAAGCAGTTTGGAGATTTCTCAAAGAACTTAGAACTACAGTTGGACCCAGGAGTCCTATTACTGGGGATATACCCAAAAGAAAATAGTTCATGAAAAAGATGCACTTGCATTTTCATTGCAGCACTATTCACAATAGCAAACAAACTGAATCAACCTAGGTGCCCATCAACAGTGGACTGGATAAAGAAAATGTGGTATATATAGATCATGGAATACTACTGAGCCATAAAGAAGAATGAAATCACATCCTTTGCAGCAATATGAATGCAGCTGAATTCAAGTAAGTAAAATGAATCCTCAACTGCCATGTCAGGGAGTCAATAGAAAATATCAAGGACTAGGTGTAAAAGACTACTATTTAGAGGTAATTATCAGGTGTAAAACTCCAAATGAATAAGAAACAGCTGCTTCTATCACAGTAGACTATGCTGCAAAAATAAATAGATGCTGATTTCAAAATTATTTGGTGTCTCTTGCTATAATGTTAGCTTTTTAAGGCCAACACTCTGATAGCAATAATTGTCTCCAATGTACTGAGTTCTTTTTTTGTTACAGAAAATTTCATGTTTCAAGTTAAGTCTTATGATTAATTTATAATGACAAGAATTCATTAAAGTGTAGTATACTGTCCAAATCTTATTCCTCAGGGTAGAGCCGTACAATAAATGAGCCTAGTTTTCTTCCTTCTTCTTTACCACACCACTTCCCTTGATCCCACTGCCCCATGTTCTCAGAAATCTTCAGATGCCAGTTTTCCCCTCCTTCAGCTTCATCTTCACCTCTCCTCTCTGTGATTATACATGTCATCCTACTAAATCCTTCCTTTCATTCCACCTGGCCCTCTACCCAATGATTACCTTCACCTTTTCATATTTACCAAATTTTTCCAAAGAATACTACTCATTGTTCTTACTTGCATCTCAATTCCTCCTAAGCTGACTGCAATCCCATGTTCTTGAAACATCTAGCTGTCTTTCATTCATTTTTTCATTCAACAAATAATTACTTTGTTCATTGATAAAATCTGACAGGGCTCCTGCCTTTAAAGAGCTTATACATGTATACAGACATTAACCAACTGTATAAACAAATATATATGCATAAGCTATGCCAAATGCATGAAAAAATATTTTCTCACTGATAAAGTCTGACATGGCTCCTGCCCTTAAGGAGCTTATAGGTGTAGACAGAGAGTAATCAATTGTACTAACAAATATATATTCATAAGCTATGCCAAATGCTGTGAAGGAAAAGTAGAAAGTATGAAGACAGTACTCAATAGATGAGCTTGATCTGGTGTAAGGGTCAGAGGAGGTTTCTCTAAGAAAATGACATTTGATCTAAGAAATGAAGGACAAGTAGCAGTTCTCCAGTTAAGGGGACTTAAAGGTAGGGAGAGAATTCTAAATACAGCATATTTATGGCATTGTATCTACTAATTGAGAAGCACCCTGCACTAGCCCTGTTGCAGCATTCCTCACTCTACATTTTAAAACTCTTTAATTATCTGTATCCCTCCATTCAGACTCTCTACTCTTCCAGTCTATAAAATCTACAGGGGCCCAGATCAGGTACTTCTTTTTCATTATCTCATTAAAGAGCTGTGCACAGTACCAACACACAGCATGTTCTTAATAAATACTTTTTAAAAAAACACATGAATATTATCCATGACCCCCATCTGCAAAATATAATGAACATGTTTTAAATTTTTATCTTATTGTAGCTCTGTGTCACTTAATCAGTCGCTCAGTACCTCCTTACTGACCTTTGATACACTATTGCTTCAGTGACATCTTTTTTCCAGTTTCTCCTCTCCTCTCTGAGGTTCCTGTTCCTTCACCAAGCCCTTAATTCCATCCAGGACTCACCACTTTGCATTTGCTCCTTGAGTGATCACTTCCACATTCGAATGGTTTCAACTTTATTCCAACAAAGGTAGATCTTTATCTCTACTGAGGACCTGGCTCCTGAGCTTCTGACTCACATAGTAACTGTTTGCTAGTCAGATATACCTATATCCCTCACAGCCATTTCAAAGTCAAGTGAACAAAACCAAACTCATCATCATTTCATGGCTCACCACTGCAACAAAAAATAAATAACTCTAACTCTGTCTCCATTATTTTATTTTAGTTTATGGTATCACCATCCATTTAGATACCCATACTAAATATTTGGTGGTTATCCTGTTTTTACTTCCCACATTCAACTTTCCATCAAGGTCAGATAGTTTTAGCCCCATAATATTTATCTAGTTCTTTTCTCCTCCAGCCCTTTGACAACTGGCCTAGTTCATATTGTCATTATTTTTCTTTCAGATGTCTACAGCTAGCACCATAAAATCAACAAGCAGCCAACCTAAAATATAAATCTGATACCACTACTCTCCTGCTTTTATTTTTCAATGGCCCCTATAGTCTGGAGGATAAAACCCAACTATCTTAATGTTGTTTGCAAAGTCCCAGCTCTTGTTGGCTTCTCCAGCCCCACCTCTCACCACTTCCTTGCATAAACCTTACGCTAAGTTAACCACAAAGTGCCTGTGGCTCCTAGAGACATCAAACACTTCCTGGCTCTGTGCCTTTGCAGTTTTAATTGTAATCTCCCTCTTCTGGATACCTTTCATCATGCCATAATCCACCCAACAATCCTCCACAACCTAGCTCCCTTGGATTCCTCAAGATGGTGTTGAGTCCTTTCGCCATGAACCCTCGTATAATACTCCTGCAACATTCCACTGAAGTGCAATAGTGTTTATCATTGTCAGTCTAAGGACTATGTCTCCCCTTCTGCAAGTTCCACAAGAAAAAGAACCACATCCTACAGGGCACACAACAAATTCTCATTAAAAGTCCATATAAGGTAGAATGAAAAAGTATATTCATTTATTTATTCAGCCATTATCTATTATTTAGTGCTATCCAAAGCCTGGCAGCAGCTCTAAATACTAGAGGTAACTCAGACAATAAAATAGATCAAATCTCTGCTCTCACAGCTGCAAAATATGTTCATTATTTTAAGTAGTGATAAGTAATATAATACCATGGAGAAAAAATAAGGCATATGGGAGGGGATAGTACCTACTGAGGTAGGGGACGGTGGTTTGAAATTTTAGATAAGGTGACCAAGGGAAGTTTTACTGAGAAGCTGAATTTTCCTCAAAAACATGTAAGAAGTGAGAGAGCTGGCAGTGCACACATCTGTGGTAAGAACATTCCAGACAGAGGGACAAGGCAAGTCTGAGATCCTGAGAAGGGAGAATACCTGCAGTTTCGAAGCACAGCCAGCAGTGAAATTTGACTGTAGCAGGGTGAAGGAAGGAAAGATATGACTAGAGGAGTCACAGAGTGGGGACATGTCCAGAGGGCGACGGGTTCTATGGTCATCATAGAACTAACTTTTGCTCTGTGTCAGATAGGAACCACAGACAATTTTGAGCAGAGTGATGTAATCTGCGTTATGTTTAACAGCATCATTCTAGCTGCTGGGTTAAGAACGTTGTGAAGAATGAGATACCAGTTAGGAGGTACATGAAAATCCTGCAGAGAGAAAGACGATGATGCCTTGCCCCAGGTTAGTGATAGTGGGGGTACTGAGATATGGTCAGATTCTAAATACATTTTAGTGGCACAATCTACAAAACTTAATGACTCACCAGACATGGGAAATGAAAGAAGCAGAGTCTGGGATAACCTAAAGTTCTTGGCCTGAGCAGCTGGAAGACTGGAGTGGCCATTTACTGAGACAGAGAAGCTATGAGAAGAACCATTTTGGGGAGAAGAGAACATACTGCGTTGGAGAAGTCTATTAGATCCGGTTGAAGATGTTGAGTAGCTATTTGGATATATAGCTTTTCTCACAGTTCCCCAAAACTTTACGATTTGCCTACCGACTGAGCCAACAGCTAAATGTGTGCCCTGTTTTTAATTCTATGTGTAGTTTGCTGTAGAAAGAGAAAGCAACTCTTAAAACCTGAAAAGAAATGAAAATGGAAACTAATGAATTACATTAAGAAAGCTTTAGATCCTTTAGCAAAAATGTCTCCATCAGCACCCACATGGAAAATGGGCAGCTTTTTACTCAATTTCTTGTCTACATAGATCACTGGATTTCATCCTTTGCAGAAGCCCTCATCATCTATAACACAGCTCTCAACAGGTGCTCTCATGCCCCAGGAGACGCTTCAGAATTTAGTTGTTGCTGGAGTGTCTAGTTGTCACAAAGATGGTGGGGCTGGCATTTATGTATGTCCTGCAATGCTTAGAATATCCTGCACAATACAGAATTGAGCTTTTCTCATGTAATTTTTAAATGCATCGGACATTCATATTGGTAAAACTCTGTTTGAAATATCTTAAGTTAGAACCAAACTCTATTTTACGTATAAACACAAAATAACATTTCCATGACTTTTTTTTTTTTTTTTTTTTGAGACAGAGTCTCACTCTGCTGCCAAGGCTGGAGTGCAGTGGCGTCATCTCGGCTCACTGCAACCTCTGCCTCCTGGGTTCAAGCCATTCTCCTGCCTCAGCCTCCCAAGTAGCTGGGACTACAAGCGACTGCCACTACGTCCAGCTAATTTTTTTTTTATCTTTTATTTTTTATTTTTAGTAGAGACGGAGTTTCACCGTGTTAGCCAGGATGATCTCGATCTCCTGACCTCGTGATCCGCCCGCCTCGGCCTCCCAAAGTGCTGGGATTACCGGCGTGATTGCATAGTTTTAATATACAATGAATTTTTCAGTTATATAACTACTGTGTAAATTGATGAGATTGGTTATATTCAGAAGCTAATTCTACTTTATATGTAAGTCCAAAATATGTTTGCATGGTTTTAAGGTACACTACATTTTCTAGTACCCTAACTATATATATATACACACGTACATACACACACATAAATATGTATGTGTATATACATACAAGTATAGATGACATGTGATATACATATAAAAATAATATATACACACGTACTTATTTTGTCCTCATTTTAAAATATTAAATATAAAGGATAGGTATTGATAACATTCAAATTTCACTTCAAGGTTTCTTAAATCTAAATGCATGCACAAATTTGACTGCTTCATTATTTCTTCATTTCCTCTTTTACTTCTTCATTTTAGGAACCATAAAATTTGATGATATCTGAGTATTTACATGTTAAAATATGCATTATTTCATTACAATATTTTCACTTATTTCTATTTTATAACTAAGACAACATATTGATTTTTAAAATAAAATATTATAGGTAGTCACATTATATTTAATCTCAGGACCGTAAGCAAGTACTAACATTACTTGTCATAAAAACAGGGCATTGGATACAATGTAGTTAATATCCTCCAAAGTATGTGCCGTCAAACAATCATGCTTCTAACAACTAAGGTCTAGAGCTTGGCATACCATAAAAACAGTGCCAATGATAACCCCTGCTCCAGATTTAGTGATTTTAAGCAATCTGGAGAGTTAAAAATGGTTTATCAGTAGTTAGGGAAAAGCTATTTTATCCTGAATGGGCATTATTTGAAAGTAGTCAGCCTCTGAATGTGCATTATTTGAAAGTAGTCAGCCTCTGAATGTGCTTTTGTAGTGATATATGAAGTACTAAGGAATTGCAGGATACCTATAAGATGCAACATTAATACTTCGGATTCTTATTTCAGCAACTGCAAGTTACATAGCCACAGATATAAAAGACCAAAAAAATAGCTTTTGTGTTGACCTTATGTGAACAGGGGAAGATTATTCATTTTCTTTGAATCAATACATTCTTGCCCAAAGCATTCTATTATAGGATTGAAGAGAATAAAATATCTAAAGGGAAATATCATGACAAGTAAATCCCTCTAATTCCAAATTTATAATAAATTATGAATAAATACAATTCACTTTTTTTCTGCTTGCTTTTTTGGTCATTACTTAAACTCTCTGAAACTGGTTCTGCATCTTGAAATGGTGGTAATTACCTCTTGTTTACAACTTTCTTTTGAGAATTGAGACAACAAATGAAACTTACATACTACCAATCCTGTTATGTTATAATTATTGTGCAAAACCTTAAAGTTTTATCAAATCACTTAATAGTGATGATCTGAGTGGTACACTGAAAATCAGAATCTTAGTATCACATCTGAAGTTTGGATGAGACAATATATTTATAGTAACTACAGAGGAGACTGACATGCAATAAATGTCAGTACATGTTAGTGTTATTATTACTGTGATAACACCACAAACAAAGAGCACCGGACAAAGGTACTTTGTATAGAGATGGCGTATCAGAATCCAGAAATGACTATGCACATTTGATCTTTCTTTTAAAAACATAAAAGTAACTTCCTGTCATCTAGAAATAATGAATATGTTGACCTTAGAATAAAATAAATTACAATTTAGTGTATGTGTGACAGTGCTCATTAACTGTTTATTTGCTTTTATAACGTATAATCCTGTGTTTGTTATTTTTAGCATGCATCTCACTTTTAATTTTTGACTTAGAAACTTTTCTTCTTAACTCAGACTTTAGTATCTAATCTGTGGTATAAAACAGTCTAAAATGAATTTTTGCATGACATTGAACAAATATTCTGATACCTCCAACAAAATTTAGATTGCCTACTTGCTTTAAATTTAATATTAAAACTATTACGAACTAGACTTGGTTTTGTAATGACTAAGTCTACAAACTAGATTTATTTTTGTGATAACTAAGATAACTAAAGAAGACATTTCAAAATTAGCACATATTTTCCATAGGTTAAGAATTTACATTAAATAGAAAACTCATTGTTAAGATAAAAAATGGTGTTTCATAAGTGACTGAAAAATACTTTGCATTAAGAAGCAATGAGGCAGTGGCTCACGCCTGTAATCCAACACTTTGGGAGGCTGAGGTGGGCGGATCACCTGAGATCAGGAGTTCGAGATAAGCTGGTCAACGTGGTGAAACCTCGTCTCTACTAAAAATACAAAAATTAGCCGGGCATGGTGGTGGGCACCTGTAATCCCAGCTACTTGGGAGACTGACGCAGGAGAATCTCTTGAGCCCGGGAGACGAAGGTTGCAGTGAGCCGAGATAGCACCACTGCACTCCATCCCGGGTGAAAAGAGTGAGACTCCATCTCAAAAAAAACAAAAACAAACAAACAAACAAAAGGAACAATAAGATTCAAATAAAAATGGCTAAGTAAAGTTGACCTTAATGTGGTGGGTTATGTTTTCATAAAAATATTCTATAAATTAATTCTAGATATGTTTGTATATTTTTATCGTACTATAAAAATCATACTTGTAAGTAAGTATCTTGATCATGAGGAAAAAAATTTTAATGTTCATCCTGATTACCTGCCAAAATACAATTATAAATAAAAATTTTGATTTCTAAGCACAAGTCAAATCTCTTCATAATACTATATCATGTATTAAATTGGTCTATCCATTTGAGAAAAAGGTAAAAACTCACTAAGAGAGAAGTAATGCTTAATACATAAATAAGATAAAATTTTGTTTCATTTAGAATACTAATTAAAATAATGAATTAATAGATTATCAAACCTTGCTTAGATTAGCAAATTTAACAAAGGCATAATCGTTTAAAACTCACCAGTGTAAGTACAGAATTTTCTTTAAAAATCAGCAGCAAGAAAAGAGACTATTATGTATTATAATTTAAGATATTGTAATTTAAGATATAATTTAGAGAGAAATTACAAATCAATTGATGAGGGGAAAGTCATCCCATAAACACAATTGGGTTAGATGGTTTCAATTTGGAAAAAATATTACTTCAGGTACCCAATGCATAATAAGCACTAAAATAAATTATGGTTGGATTAAAGAGTTAAAATATTAAAAAATCAAATAAAGAAAGAAAATTGAACTTTTAATCAAACTTCTGAATGACTTTTTAAACTCAGAAGCAACATATTTACAAAAGATATACAAAGATATGTAAATATATAAAAATATGTGTTCATACGACATATGTGCTTGTGTATTTGACCACAAAGAAAGAGAATAACATATTTAGTAAAACAAAAATAAAAAAACTAAACAATACATATGCAAATCAATTAATTTAAAAAAAAACGAAAACCTACCACTCAAATAAAAAGGAAGAAATAGAAAACAGGGAAAATGTGGAGACAATAATGCCAGAAGTGGAGTTTAAATATCTAAATAAAGAGCTCATAAAATTTGATAATAAAAATATGCCCCAATCTGTCCCACATAAATGGGCAAAGGGTATGAACAGAAAATTTTAAAAGGGGGCATTACAAACTCAAAAATACATGAATTTATATTCAGTTTACAAGCAAACAGGAAAATATAAAATACAAGAAAAAATATTTTAAAATTATTAAATTAATATTTAAAAAATACTTAAAATGCCAACAAATGCTCATACTGAAACAGGTCCTCAAACTTTCTAGGTGGAATTATAAATTGATTCATTCCTTTTAGAAAGCAAATTGCCAATATGTGCTAAATACTAAAAACTTAGGTATTCTTTAACCCAGTCATTCTACCTTTATAAATATATGCTTTCAAAGGTATAAAATATGGAAAAAAAATTCTAGATGAATATCATCAACACATTATTTATAATACACAATTTTTTAAATCCCAGAACAAACCAAGCAAGCCTTGGTATCCAATAGTGGAGGAATATTTAAGCAAGTGTTACACAGTTCATGGTTAATGAAATAAATGTTTTGAAAACTACTCAGTAATATGAGAAATGTTTGCAATGTTAGGTGAAAATAGTAATGATATTAAATTATTTGAACATCACAACTAAAACTTTTTAAAAAGCCATTTAAATAGGGTGAAAGACCAAGGGCACACAATAAGATGTTAGGAGTAAGTACACTGGGGCGGCAGAATTCTGGGTGAATATTTTCCCTCTCTTTTCCAAATTTCTATCTGATGTTATATCACCTTGATAAACAAATCATTTGGAAATCAAAATATGGTTTGGCGTGGTGGCTCATACCTGTAATTCCAGCACTTTGGGAGGCTGAGGCGGGTGGACCACTTGAGGTCAGGAGTTTGAGACCAACCTGGCCAACATGGTGAAACCCCGTCTCTACTGAAGAAACAAAAATTACTCAGGCATGGTGGCTCATGCCTGTAATCCCAGCTACTTGGGAGGCTGAGGCATGAGAATTGCTTGAGCCTGGGAGGCGAAGGTTGCAGTGAGCCGAGATCGTGCCATTATACTCCAGGCTGGGAAACAGAGCAAGACTCTGTCTCAAAATAAATAAATAAATAACAATATTTACTAAAATTATGAACTAATTAAAACATATACCTATAGTAGGGTACAAATATATATGTGTGTGTGTGTGTGTGTGTGTGTATACACATATATACTTTCCTAACAAAATTTTAAATACATTTAGTTATCATGATTGAAAGCATTTATATGAAAATATGTGATAATTGTTTACCTGGAGGCATTATGTGAGAAATTCTTCATTTCTTTTACTCAAATTCCTACCATCTTCCTATTTTATATTTATAAATGGTAAAAGATATATTTATGAAAAGAAAGCCTTACAGTATAAAACAAATATTAATTCACTCAGTAATATCTCCTCATAGGTTTCTGTTGTAATAATAGAAATGTTCCATGGGGCAAAACATAATTTTAGGGTCCAAGAAAAAAGGTAAAGTTTTAAAGTCATGCTTAAAAGAGAAAGAAAAATGAAACCATTTATACTCCAAACACATCATAAAATATGACTTAAACAGACAGAAACTTCACAGAACCCAAATCCCACCAGAAAGTAGGCTCTCTGCTACAATGTAATAATGTCCACTGATTCCATGGTTCTTTTCCTTTCAGCTATTTAAAAGGTAATCCCTTTTAAAGCCCTGACCTTTTAGCTATTACTTCAAAGGGGAACCAGCATTTATGCTTTCTCTTAACAGTTTATCTACATTTGTTACAACTGTGGAAAGTTGTTAGAACATTCAGTAAATTCCCCATGGTCGGCTTCTTTTTCTTCCTTTACATTATAGTCCATTTAAGGTTGGGTTAAGAGATTACAGTAACAAATGTATGTATTTTGTGTTACATCAGTTTATTCAGAATTTCCCCAACGTATAATGCTGCAGTGGTGCTCATTCCAAATCCAGTTGTAGAACCAGGCTAACTTGGAATTGTTTTTACAGCTTTCCAAAGGATATAAAATGCACTTATGAATAACTGTTAAGTAGAATAACTTAACAGCACTCTAAGTTCCTACTGGTCTTTGTTTTGTTTGAAACTGAGCAGTAGCTTTGAATAAACTAAAAAGGCAAGAGAAAGGGGGGAAGGCCTCATTTTCTAGTTGTTCTTTAATGGAATGAAAAATAAGTATACTGAGCAACCGATGCAGTGATCTGAAATAGCTCTAAAACAAAATGGGTGACTGTGGATGAATTTGCCTTCTACAAGGAAAACAAAGAAAACTTTAGGCCAAATATCTTTAGACATCACTTCTATTAGAAAGCCAGGTCATCTAAACTATTTCAAAAATTTCTTCCAATTGCTAAAAATGCAACACGTTATTTCATACAATACTTTTCCTTACTATATTTATAAACCAGTATGTGAATTTGGTATAGTAAATCTGTACATTTATTATTATTATGCTCATTTATAGGCTTAGAATATACTTTTACTTCCAATTGTATTCATAATTTTTAAATTTTAAACATTTTCTGGCAATTCAAGTTTCATTTATCTGGTGCTAAGTCTCCAAGAAGTAATTGCAGAATTGTGCTTAAAAGATAATTAGGCCAATTTAGAGATTATTTCCAAAAATAAATTTGGCAAAGGGTAGGAACCACATAAGGCAAAGGGTACACACACATGATTTTCTACAGTAAGATTTTTTAAAACTTTCAAACTTCAACAGATCCCTATACTATAGACATCAAGTCCAAAGTTTTCTGGTTGAATTTACTGGCTGACCTCCCGTAGGAGAGTCTTCCCTGGCTGTTTGCTTGGCTAACTTTCAACACATCTAGGTCTGAGCTCAAATTGCCTGCTAGTTCTTGATTACTTGCATGATTATCAAAAGAAAGATGAAAAGTGGGATTCATAAAATCCCTAAGTCCTGATTTTAGCTATGAGCTTTTACTTTACCAGATTTGCAAAAAAGCAAAACAATCAGTTCAATTTAATGTAATTTTTAAGTGATCAGCAATGTCAGCAAGGAAAGAAAAGCAAAAGATCGCAAGGATTCAAAGCCTATATAATTGAGAAGTAATTATAGTACACGTGGCAGACTAGAACTTATACTTTTATATCACTTTTACGCTATATTTTTCCTATAAAGTACATCCTCATTTTTAAATGTAATATAAGGACCTCAATGTCTTAAGTCAATATTTATATGTGGCCTCCTTAAATTTTGAAGAGTAATGCAAAAATAAGAATATACATGGTTTATAAAAATTTTCAGTTTAATTATATAATTACTTTTCCAAAATAAAAGAGCAATACTCTTTTTCCACATACCTGCATTAAGACAGTTATAATTCCCTTCAATAATGTAAATATTGTTCAGTCACATCCAGATGTACATGTTTTTTCTTTTCCTCCTAAAAGTTATCTCACCTTGCACTTTGGACACTTCTGGGCATTCCTCTGCCCATGCTCAATTTCGCTGGCCCAGTGACGCAACAATTTGTCTCCTTTTTTGTACTCCTTGCAGTTAACACCTTCATGCCAAGGAGAGTGGCACTTAAAACACCAGACGAATTGGCAGGTAGGGCACTGGATCTGTGTAAGAAAAAAATCATATTAATTACTAGTGGATATACTGAAAGTGTCTAAAAGGATAAGAAGGTGATGCTTGGGGAAATTAGCTAAAAGTTTATAATTTAAAATACCTCCCCCTCTATAAGACTCAAACTACAGGAAGATATGAATACTCTGTTACTACAGGAAAGAATTGCTTTGGCAAGGATGACTTGGCTATTTGTAGGCTGTACTGGAGTTAAACATTTGGTTCTGGAAACCAATTTAGCTTTAAGAAAATCTCCCAGATTTAAGTGCAGTCTCCCAGATTGAACCTGAAGGCTCACAAGGCCCCAAATCCACACACTCAGGCTGCCCTTTAATTCACCTTTCCTTTGAACGAATTACCCAGCCATTTCCATTGTCTTCTTAAGAATGGCTTATTTCATTTTATTTTTAAAAAGCCCCACAGATGCTTCATCAAATAAAAAACACAGTAGCAGTCTGGGTGTGGTGGCTTATGCCTGTAATCCTAGCACTTTGGGAGGCTGAGGCGGCTAGATCACTTGAGGTCAGGAGTTAAAGCCCAGCCTGGCCAACATGGTGAAACCCCATCTCTACGAAAAATATAAAAATTAGGTGGGCATGTTGGTGCATGCTTGTAATCCCAGCTACTCAGGAGGATGACACGAGACATGACAATCACTTGAACCCAGGAGGCGGAGGTTGCAGTCGAGCCGAGATTGTGCCACTGCACTCCAGCATGGGCGACAGAGAGAGACCATCTCAAAACAACAACAACAACAATAAAAACACAGTAACAAACAAACTGCTAGAACAGCATTTGCTATGAAGCAGCATTTAAAATAATGGATACTCCTGGTTTGCTACCAACGTAAGGCAGGCTAATTATAAAAACAATGCAAAGCATTCTATTATTAGAAATATATCAATATAGTGGCCCTGTGGCCTGTACTTAGAAAACCGTCAGAAACGGGCCTTCATATTTCACTATGTGGAGGGGTATATGACAGTGCACGTGTAAGTTTAATATGAATATCTGTCTTCCACTTGACATGGAGGATATTTTATCTGACTTCCTTTATTTTGAATGATAGTGGAATATTCCACTCATACACATTATTTCCACTCCTAACTCTCTAAAAGCATATGGGTATAACCTGACTTACAGAGCCCCATGTGATTACAATGGATTAATAAAATGTCTCATTATGAATGATATTTATAACTGACCACTCTCTTTGCTCCTCTATGTCACGTCACTGCAGCATGTGTGAATTCACTGACTACATTTTAAAGGTTAGTTAGAATTTCCTTTTTGGAAAACAACTTTTTTGACAATGGAGGTTCTACTATATAGACTAATTAGCTGAGTGGCAATTACAATCACAGCTCTTCTGTTAATAACTCAAAGCACTGTAATTTTCACTTATGTCAAGAATGGATAATGCTCCTCTTGTGCAACTATGAAGTAAAAGTACTTTTGTTATTAACTTTATATAAAAATGGTATTCTGTCATAAGGCTTAAAAGATTTTCACGTTTATTTATTTATTAAAATTCTGTTCAATGATAATGTCTATGTTGAATATATTACATGCATTATTTATTTTCATCCTCAAAATAATGCTGGAAGGTAGATATGAACATCATCAGTTTACAGATGATGGAAATGAGACTCAGATAGATTAAATAACTTGCTGAAGGTAACACAGCACATATGTGTTAAGAAGGAATTTAAACGTAAGTTTGTCTGGCTCCAAGTTTAGCATAATTTTCACTATAGTCTTATACTAAACGGCATTTGTTCTTTGACAATTGACAACTTAAAATGTAGTAGTCAAAGATGGTCATATCATTAAACTATTCAATAAGTCAGAATTCCACATGATTACCAAGATAAGGTGAACTTTGAAAATTCTTTTCAAGATCTACTTATATAAATTGAGAAACTACTTGGTTTAAGTAAAAAAATGAAAAAAGAAAAAAAGGATGTTACTCTTTAGTTATTTAAAATAACTGTTTTCCTTTTTGATCATTACAATTAAAATAAATCATTTTTAAAAGAAAACAAGTTGAAGTAGATGAGATTCAGCTAAGAAAACAATATAAAATGTTTACTTCCATTTGCCATTGAGCAATGAAGACTAGATGTAAATATCACATGGAGCCTTCCTTTCCAATATAATGAATGAAATGAGGAAAGAAGGAAAAAAATTGCTTTTCCTTATGCATCTAACATTAAGTCAGAACACCTGAAAAGTTAATTCGGTTATCTTCTATTGGACATTATTCATAATTCTGAATCACTAGATTCTAGCATCATTAAATGAACTTTTTGAAAAGATCTCTCTAGTTTTTAATCAGTCTTAGATTATATTTATGAAATATTAGAATGAATGTAAAGATGCTTTGAAACTCGGATTCGCTCTATAAATGTCAGACATTTAATGACTCAAAGATCTTTGTGATTAAGTGCTGAACTATCACATTTGTGAATCTCTAATGAAGACAATTATAGCAATGCATGATTCTCCTAAGGCATCAGAATAATAAAGAATCTGACGCTTTGTGTCCAAACCAGGGACTCTGGCTCATAATAAACAACCAAGTCCTACTGCAGATCCTATTGCAAATCCTCACCAACAGCACAGACTTAGTGGGAAACTGTGACCAGAGTTATGGGGCAGTCTCTCAAGTGAATACAAATAAGTTAAACTCATACTGGATTGCTTACTATCTCTCACTGAAAACATCAGAATCACTCTTTATTTGCTTTGGATTAAAACCATAAAAGGACTAATAGCCAACTCCAACAACTTTGGTATTAAAAGACTACATCTGAAATTGTCCCAGATTTTTTGTTCTGAAGATGCCTCATTCATTTTGAACTTAACCATATTCAAAATTGGCCTTACGCAAACACATACAGACATCAACACTGCATCTTCCTCCACTCTTTTATTTACAGTTATTCTTCCACATGAAATGCTATCTCACAACCACATACCCACCACATGGAGTGCCTGCCTTCTTAGTAATTACAGTCACACAGAAATCATCATGCCCTGTCCTTGTGGCTCAAAGTGTGGTTGCAGGGCCAGAAACATCAGCATCACCTGAGAACTTGTTGGAAACACAGAATTCATGAATCCTTAGACCTCAGAGCCAAAAGTGCACATTTTCACAAGGTCCGAAGGTGATTTGTATGCATCCTAAAGTTTGAGAGGCACTGCTCTATACCATGTGACTGCATCGCCCAGGCCACAATTTATTGGACCAGGAATGAGTCCCTAAGCCAAAAACATGTATCCACTAGTTGGCAAGCTGCCTAAGCGGTGGCATGAGCTTTGTGTAGCATGGGTGCTCATTGTTGAATGGAAATTAGCCAAGATAGATTTTTCTCTCTTGAGGAGTGTCATAGAGATACAAAGGATGCCTTCATGGAGGCAAAGACAGAGAAGAGCTAAATGACTACAATGCAGACCACTGGAGAAGGACACAGACATTGACTTCTGGTGAGATGACAGAAGGGCTCTCACACTACCAGAGCTTGTGTCTGATTCTCTATGAGGCCTGCCTGGGCAGCTGCAGAGAGTATTTTCCTGCCCTTCCTGCTCCCCATGGAGCCTTAGACTAAACCTCACTAATTGAGGTAGCCCAAGAAACAGTACATTTCTGCTTCTGGTAACTGGAAGAGTCCAGTGGATTAAACCTATTAAAATCTTATCTTGATCAAATGCTCCTTTCTTCAAGATGTCTTCCCTATTTCTTGCAACCAGATTCAGTACCTTTCTTATGGAACTTCCATTAGGGATGTAGATGTCTAATCTCTCCAACAGCCCACAAGTTCACTCCTCAGTGAACTGTGTTTGTCAAAGGCTTTGTCTCATGTAAAATGAATGATTTTACACACAGTTTAGGTATCACGTATCAGTTAACATTAAATGAATTCAAAGAAAAACCAACATATCTAATTTATGACTAGTGGCTGAGGTAGTATTACTAATTCCTATATTATCAGATGATGTTTACTAAATACATTGTCCTAATGAACTTTTACTAAGCACTATGATCAACGCACAAACTCTTCTAAAAGAGGCAAGCAGGGCTTCAAGTGCTTCAAGAATAAAGTTATCAGAGCTAAGAATCTTAATTAGCTTTCTCCAGAACTCACAAAAGATAAAAGAACCTTACATTAGATTTTTGACTTTTGAATACCCTTAGTTTTACCAGAAATCTGTGCTATACTGAGATGAAAGTACGCCGACTCACCTGCCCTAAGAAAATGGCATTTTCTCCTGATAATTCATCAAGTCGAGTAAGGAAACAACCCACAAAATAAAAACAGTGTCTAAAACTAAAGAAAACCCCAGATCATTATTTTCCTGCCTAAATTCTAGATACCCCTATACACATCATTATTTTAAATAAATCACAAAATCATTACTTATCAAATTCAAAATATTAGACAACATCCATGTGTAAAGTAGCACTGCAAATATAAGAGCTGATTCAGTTTTCCAAAAAGGATTTGCTTTACTAGAACCTCAGGTTCAGATTCTCAATAATGAAGCACATGTATCAATTCATTTTCCCATCCAACACATATTTATTGGGCACCTTCAAGTAGCAGGAACTGCTTATGTTGATTGTAGGCAGAAAAAAATGAAAATACTTGTCCTTAAGGAACTTACTGGGGTCTGACAGATATAAACCAAAAGAGCTATAAAGGCATATAGTAACTGCCAGAATAGAAGCTGGGACAAGTGAGTGCCATGGAAAGAGGCTTCAGTGAAGCTGGAACATAAGCGTTCAGAGAGAATGTGGCCTTCAACAATGAGTAGAATGTTACAGGGACAAGTGATGAGGTAACACTTTGAATAGAGGGTCCATCCTGAGCCACCACACAGAGGCCCAAGAGCACATGATATATTGGGGAAACAGCAAGTGTTCTAATGTAGCCTGAACAGAGATGTCACTTCAGCTAGCTCAACCCTGATCCTTGCTAAGTGTACAATAAATGGAGCCAGTAAGTTCCTATAATCCTGGCATGTCCCCCAAAATATACCATGGTCCAGAAACTCTGCATAGGAAACATGTAAAAATCATGGCTGTCAGATTCGGGTATGTCCTAAAGAAACTAACCAAAATGGTAAATAATTGGGAAATCTTGTAGTTATAAAAATGTTTTAAAAACTGAAGATGCTTTTCTTGAAGATGAGATGTGGAGAGGTACAGCATGTTATAGAGAGGAGAAAATGAGTCTTGATGAATGGCTTCAAATACTTTCAAGGAAGCACTGTTTGCTCCCTTATAACATCAAATCCTAAAGTCAGATGGTGGCAATGGAAAGAAATTCTCCATATGGGAAAACATATTTTGACTTCTTGTCTTTAATCTTACTCCCTGATATTTCACTGCCTACTTGGGGATCTCTTCCCTGCATGGAAATGCCAGTAACATACAGTCTTCATGAGGCACTGCACCCTTGAAAACAGTCCAAATGTGGCCAAGTGATCCTTGCCTTAGTTTCTCACAGCACAGCTAAAACTAAGCTGGAAAGGGAAAGAGAAACTTTCCTAAAGGCTGAGGACCAACAGCAGACCAAAACAAAACAAAACAAAACAAAACAAATAAAACCACACACACACACACACACACACACACACACACACAAAACGCATGACAAGGTAAGCTATATTGAGATATGGTGCTTATTTATATAAATAACCTTACTGAACTCCCTCAACATTGGTTTCCTTTTACATATGCAACACAATTATTTATTGCACAATGCATTCACCTCAATACTAGCTTTTATGTTCAAGCTGGACTCATACTTTTCTTGGACAGCATGTCTGAACTTGAGAATGGGGGTTGTTTGAAAAAGTACTCTCTCCCTAATTTGAAAATCACTATTTCATATCAGTCCATCTTGCTCCTACCACCTGGAAACACCTTCAGCATTTACAGACTCTTCCTGTAAATCCAGAGAGCAAAGCCCAGAGAAGCATTTGTCTGGGTCTATTTCTTGTCCGAGGACCCATTTCTTCACTGGTGAACACAAAGGGTACTGGAAAATTCTTCCCTGATTTGCATAGCCCAAAGTCCTGGCCAGAAAAATGTGGTATCATCCTGTTTTGAACAAGATGTCCTGTTCTGAACACAACAGAATCAGGATAACAGCTCACAAGAGGTACCCACATAAAGTAGCAAGAGGTCCACTGTGTTAAGTGTACATAAGGAAATGGGAATATTCTCTGTGACCAATAAGTGAAGGCAGGAGGGAAGCATACCTCAGCCTAAAGGTAACAATGAATTATTTCAAATCTGAGGTTTTTGAAAATGGAAAGGAATGATTCTATTAACAAGTTCCTTAACAAAAGCAGTGTTCAGAGTCTGCATGGCCAACTGGTAGGCATATTGTAGAGGGGATCCGTGCACTGTGTAGACAGCCCCAGTAGATTCTCTTACAAATCTAAGTAAGTAAATATGGAAAGGTAGTAGCACAGAGGGTGGTAGATAAGAAATGTAAGGTCTTCACTTCACTTCTTTCAGAATATCTTCCAGACCATTTTATAAGGAACACCACACTTGGCCTACTTTAACACACGATCTCGGGGGCCATCAGAGAGAGACGATTCTTCACTTGTTCATTGTGCTAAAGACCCAATGACAATAGGATAAAGGGAAAACAGTTCTTAGTACCAGTGCAGGTCAATTTATCCTAGCTGCAAGATTTGATTATTACTATAGTTTGTTTTTTTAGGTGAAGTGTAGGCTAAAATATCAGATAAATTCCAACATTTGGCTGTTAGAAGTTCAAGCACAAGTTAAAAACCTCTAAAAATATTGTGTCTAATTTATGCATCAAAAAAGCAAACAAAGAACAGCCTTAGCAAAACACTCCATTAGTAACTGAAGAAAGAAATGCTAACATAATTTAGTAGGCTTGCATCATAGCTGAGTGTTATATGTTTTTTCAAGGGTAATGTATGTAACACACACTTTGTTTACACTGGCGTCTATCAACAGGGCTAGACGACTTTAACTGTCTCATAAATCTATGCCAACAACAACCATTTAAGAAACTACACTTTTTTTCTATGGGCTCCTGACATGAGTGATACATTAATCCCAAGAGAAATCAGTGTGTGTTGTAAGCTACCCTAACCTTGCAGGGAAGACGCACAACTAGATTCTCCATTTGTAAACACTGTCAACTTAAAGTGATGGTGTCAGGGAAAACCAGAACAAAGCAGCATACTCATTACACGTTCATGGGAAAGCTTTACACATTCTTATATATGGGAAACAGTTCTCAAGTTATCTTTACCAGGAGGAAGGTTAAGCACGTTTTAAAGTACACCAGTTCGCAACAACCGATTGATTTGACTGTATTCTTAAAGCCCTTAGAAAATTCTTTTACCACATGAGAAAATATTTGTGTAGTGTTTATAAAATGTAATTTCTACTCAGAGGGTTTATAAGAAAGAAAAAAAGACAGCTAGAGAGATAAGGTAAGCACACAGACAGAGTTTCTCCAGGGAATTTTATTGGCTTTTTTCTTTCACCTGGGGTGAAAGATGCATCAAAAGTGCCATTGTATAAATTATCAAGATTCTGCTTAACATTTGTGGGAAGAAGAATGGGGATTATTAGTCTTGTCTGAAGAAAACCATCAAAAGAATTACCTCTAACGTGTTCTCTAACATGTTGATAAGCATGACCTTCAACTCTTTCTCCAAATCGATATGAAAAGGGGGATCATTTATTCAGTCTGCACTTGGAATAAGAATGAAACCCAGAATTGCACCTACCTCAGTAAAACCTGTATGAGTAAAATAACTACTTTTAATCCTTTACACATCTCTCCTCTCTTCCATAAAGAACTGCTATCACCTCCTCTACCTCCCAAAGAATATTTTTTTCATTTTCGTAAGTTCAATGACAATCCCCTTCACTGCCCCCAATATTGATGACTTCCACCAAATCACTCCTGAGTCATGTTTTCTGGACATCTCTTTGATGCCCTAAAGGGTCTTCAAACTTAACACTATCAACATATTTCAAACTGAACTAATTTTCCATTTCCCAAACCTGCTCCTCCTCTTCCAGACATAGTCAATTTTACCCCTCCTTTCTGCCCATTGTCCACCACTCACCCCATGTTTTCTTTCAACTATATTCTTTTTTACTCCCCCATGCCCTTCTCAATACCCAGGGTTGCTCATTCTGCTCTCTTTGCCTAATAATAATAACAATCATAATACTTTCCAGTATGTGTCATATGTGGTGCTAAGTAATTTATATGTGTGATTTCATTTAATTCTTACTACATTCTTATGACATAGGTACTATTACTATCCCCAGTTAAAGACGTGGAAACGATACTCAAGGTGACAGAGCTAGTGTGTGACAGGCTGAGAGTTTAATTCCAGTGTGAAAGCAGTGCTCTGACCTGCCTTTTCAACCTTGGTAAATCCAACACCTCAAGGCTTAATGTGTTTACTCTTAAATGAATCCTTCAACAAATATATTTTGAGTGCACCCTCTATCAGACATAGGCTTGACACAGGTTATCAGCAGTAAATGAAGTAAACTTGGACCTGGACTCCCAGAGACCAGTTAGAAAGAGAAACTTAAGGCAAATAACCACACATATATATCATAAAATCCCAGGTGATAATTGCTATGGTGAAAAGCTTTGGGTGTGGGTGATGTGTCTATCTCCAGGCATAACATAAGGACATTAGTCAAAACTTCAACATTTTTTTATTTCTCCATCATTAACTTGTTCTCTATATTGATAAGCGGTTGCTGTTGCACTGATAAATTACAGGAACTATTCAGGTTAGAAATTAGATTTCTAGTTGGAAGCTGACGTCAACCTTGTAGAAATGGAACGGTAAGCCTTTCTGGCATCATGACAAGAGTTTTAGGGAGAAGAAGACAGAAATACTATGGATGAAAAAGTGAGACTGGATTTGACAAAAGGCAAGGTTGTCTGAATGTAAATCTCTCAATTCACGAATGCACTTGTTCTATTTGATATAGTATGAGTTTGACGATGTTCAGAACATAATATAAAGCTCTATTTACTCAGATTTTTGCCAGAAGGGAATTGTTGGGTGTTGGGCCTGGAAGGACAAATGGACAGGTAAGAGTTCTAGTTACTGCTTATTCTTATATTCTTTTTACCCTTTATCCACCTGCTGAGTACAAACAATTTAACAAGTGGTCTTCACAAAAATTAAAACCCCCATATATGATATTTTAGGTCTCAAACTTCATGTGAGAAGCACTTACTCAGCTATAAAATAGCTATAATATTTTCAAACAGTTGAATTGACAGCAAAAGCCATAATAAATGTTCAAAGAATGACATCTTGGATGAAGATACTGTGAATCAATGACTCAGAATAACATTAAAATAAACATTACAAGGGTTTTATCAGTAGATACAAACCTACTTAAGCCTGTAAACATTATTATAAAGAGACGTTAAATTGCACAGAAACGTCAGACATTAGCAGCAACCTTTTTTTTTCTATTTCTGTTGCCTCATGATGCAATGTATTGTGTGTGAGTACTTGAATTCACTCCTCTTAAAGTTACCATAAATGACACCAATTTGGAACTACCTTATTTTATTAGGGAAACTGAATTTTTAAAAATACTGCAAAATAAAAAATGTTCACCTGTTCATCACAAAGAACAAAGATCTTAGTCTCAGTACAGGGTGCCATACTGTGGCCATGAATCTCACGATTGGTTGGCTGGGGTATCCATGTCAGTGCTCTCCTTACCTATAATACCCAGACAGGTATGGGCATGTAAACCAGGTAGTTAATGTTAACATAAACCACAGAGTTTAATGATGAAAAATGTTATATAAACTTTACACTAAAATAAGTAAAAATTATTGCTTCAGGAATTATTTGAATCATTGCTAGAACTTTGTACAGCATAGATCAAGGAGATTATTAACTTCTTCTGTTATCGATCTTCTCTTCTACACTAGTAAAGAAGAGTAACAAAAATAATCATCCTCAAATTCTGTGGTAGTTTTACTCTTTTGAAATTTGCTTAAGTTTCATTTTATAGTGTAATGAGATTTCCACCCCACACCCACCGCTGAGGATCTTAACTGCTTCATAATCAACATTTATGGTGTTGTTGAATTCCTCCTCACACCAAAGCAAATTTTCTTTTCCTCTACTAATCAAAAGGAATCAATTGAGTTTAATAAATTTAAGATGTTGATCTGAGGATCTTAACTGCTTCATAATCAACATTTATTGTGTTGTTGAATTCCTCCTCACACCAAAGCAAATTTTCTTTTCCTCTACTAATCAAAAGGAATCAATTGAGTTTAATAAATTTAAGATGTTGGTCCATTTGCCCCTGCTTCTCTTCTTACCTACAACAAATTGATAGACATTGGAGAAGCCTGACCTCTGGGAAATGTTATCAGAATACCATGGGCTCGCTCAAAATTACACAAATATAGAATCTTCTATTTGTCAATTTTTACATATTTCACTCTCAATACATGTGTATTGTGATACATTATGCTCATCACAACATGATTTTGGTGATTTCAGATGAAATGAGACGTAAAACATTTCACTATTGCCATAATTGTGACTTAAATTATAACTCCTTTACCCATTTCATAAAAACAACACATTTAAAAGTTACTCAGTTATTCCCACTCTAATTCAATTTTGTACATGTTTTAATTACTGCAATTTTAAAAATTAGTATAGTCTCAGTTTCTATGTATCTAAGTCCAAACATATATTAGAAAAAAATTGAATATCCTAATTTATGGAATTACGAGTCCTTCTAAAACTAGTAATTTCCTGATCTTATACAATAACATACAATTGCAATGAAAATAACTTAAAAATAATCTAAGGATATATAGCATGAAATAAAAGTATTCTATTAATGTTCAGTTAGCCTTCAACACCACTGTAGGGCAGTACTTTAGTTATACAATTTTTGTAACCTCAAAAATAATGCTTTTTATAGAAGAGAAAAATAGGATTTTTTTCTAACAGTTATACCTGATAGAGAATGGCCTGCATAAAAACAGTAAATAAATTAACTATGAGAGCCAAGCAGTTTCAAAGAACAACGACTCATGAAGAAGCTTTGACTAACCTACAATACTGTAGCTTATAACTGCAACAGCAGAGGAAACTACCTGCTAAACCATGGTCCCCTCAAAGCTACAAAATGAATAATGTAACTGCTGCTCTCAAGAAAGGGAACATGACCAGAAACTTACCTTAAATGGAGATGACTCCAAACAGCCTTTGAAACCACTTCATCCTGCCATTTTGCTGTAATGACAAGGATGAAAACTACTGCCACAGCCTCACTGGTTTTCTGCTTCATTTACTGCAAAGATTCTCTACTGTGGATTAGTCACCTGGTGAGGCTCAAAAATTTGGAAGACAATTGTTCTGGGGTGGGCCTGGGGCACTGGTGTGTCATGGAAGTTCTCGGGTGATTCTAATATACAATCAGGGCTGTGAATCAATGCTCTGCTGTCACAGTTGTTGCCTTGGTTTCAAACCAGACTTCTGTCTGGTCCTCTTGTGATAGCTTCTATGAATGCTGCCAGATGACATTTCTCTAATGCTTACAGAGTTACATCCAAACTTCTGCGCAAACTGCACAAGACTCAACATGATCTGCTCTTATCTGCCCGATCAGCTGCCTCTCCCGACTCTCCACCAGCTCTAGAAGCACTTGATTACAAGAAGCCTGGCCTTAGCCTCGGGGGCCGTGCACTTACTCATCCCTTGCTCTGAAATGCTCACCAGGTTTATCTGTCTGGAGAACTGCACCTCCTCTGTGAAGCCATTCCTGACATCCTAGAGCCTAACCCTCCTTCAAGTGTCCTCAAAGCACACTATATGTACACAGCTTTGTGTTTTTTTCTAATCATATTGGACTGTCATTTTTAGAACACATGTCTCTCCCATCTTCGACTTTTTTTGAAGCAGGGACTGTATCACATTTGCTCTATAGCCCCCAAATTTAGCACACTGCCTAGCATATACAGCATTCTGTATTTGCTGAATAAATGAATGAGTACCATTTATACTATTTTTACCTATTATAGACAGAACAAGAGGAGACTTACATTGGGACCACTGAAAAAAAAATCAAGTCCATAATAATAAAGAAAAAGCCTTAGTATTTATTTAGTATTTGGTAGTAGTAACTATTATTACTCTAAAGATCAGCCTTCCTATAAGGTTACTAGATTAATTTTCAACATGGTTAAAGTCAAAGACAAAACTGTAATTAATTCCTTAAGAGCACTCTCTTATCATCAGCCTCCCCAAACCATATGCTTTCAGAATGATGGCCAATATATGCTCACCTTCAGCTCCATAAAGGAAAGATGCCCCCTTAATGCCCACGACAAGTGGATCTAATCTGGCTGCTTCTGCCATGTGACATCTAACCCACAGCTCTGGTGAAAATGCTTACTTTGTATTTGCTTTCTGATCTGGAAGGGGTGGGAATATGTCCTTTTTTCTTGAAGGTTGTAAAGTGCTTGCACTGAGGACATGGCTTGGTGCTGGAATCAATACGGCCAAGTTCCAAGAAGTACTTATACTTGATGGAGTCTTCATGCGTTAAGTTATAGACAACAGTTGTTTCTTCCAAGAATTCAAAACACTCTGTGATGGGGCATTTGATTTCTACTTGGCCAAGTTGTACCTGCATGATGGAAGAGCAGATGGAAGGAAAAAAACGTCACTGGTTATTTTCTTTCATTTTTTTTTTTGTATACAGTATTACTTATTTCATGACCGCAATAAAGGATTGTGTGTAATTTTTAAGATAACATAATGAATGTTAATCACCTTGATACCTGCTTTAGGCAATACCAAAATAATCACTACGTAATGTTTCTGAAATGACTTATAGGGCATTTAAGTCTTCTCTGATCATTCTTTTTTGTGAAAAGAAATGGACCTAAGCCACAGGCTCACCAAAGAAGCAAATTATCATCTCATGTTTCTGGAAACTGCAGGGTTAGACAGCATTCAGATGATGCACCAACTGCAAGAACTGCGGGGTCAGGCAGCATTTAGACAACATGCCAAATAAAAGGTGTTTCACATTTTTCAACATCACTGCAGAATACTTCAGCACTAAACTCTGGGCACATTTTACTATTTTAAAAGAACAAAAGATTTTGTAATGTATAATGCCTAATAGTTTAAAAATTGTTACAAAAAATAACTGTTTCCTCTGACCCTTCTGTGTTAAGAACATAAAGTAAGTAGTTCCTATATAATGAGAATCATAGGAACAAGTAAGAAAATGAAACCAGTTACAACAATGTAAAACATCCTTATGAAATCTGGCTGCTACTGCGGTAATTTACAAAATTAATGTATTCAAAGGACTACGAAGCTAGATTAGGAGAGAAGGGAGGATACATCAAAACGCAACATTTAGCATGTGTTATGGAGTACTAGATATGTTTAGCATTAAAAATTACAATAAAAGATTAAAGCACAAAGTGTGGACACAACTAATTTTTAAATGATTAAAATAAACTACTTTGAAATAATGAGTAGCTAGAGTATTTTTCGTAAGTAGTGAACAATAACTCTTTATATTCATGGCATTACAATCTCTTTTGTCCATCCTAATGTAGTACAGGGAGGCACTAAAAACTCCAAATGACAAACAACACCAAACCCTTTCTTTTTTATTTGGGTGAATCTCACATTCTCAGAAAGCAAAACATGCGCACTTGGAGTAGAAAAGCATGCTATGAAGACTGAGGTAGGAATGGGAGAAAGCCACGCAGTTTGGGGAAAGAAAAACATCACTACAAAAAGCAATTAAAAAAAAAAACTAAATTCATAGTAACTTTTAACATTGCTATTTATCTGGCACAAACTTGAGGTAAGGTAGTTAAGAAGTTGCAGGCTGAAGGATGCATGGGGTGACATATTGAATACCAGAAAAGGACATGAGCTAAGCTGAAAGCAAAATGAAAGAGGGTGGCTTTGGATAATTCTCCTTATTAGTATTGACCTGTTAAAAGTATAAATTGTTGCATAATTTTATGCTACTACTGTACAAAACATGGCCCAGAGAGGATTTAAAAATATGTGCCCAAACACTTTTTTCTATTTTTTTGGATGAGTCTGCTCACAGTCCCAATAGATTTTATTATTCATGTTACAGTGTTACGATGCTATTATAATTCAAATTACGTTTTAGAATCAATTATTTTGTTCTGCCTCAAGACAAAACTTCTCAGGAGATTTTTGTGTAGATAAAAACCCCTGTGTAACCAACTAAGAACCTGGCTTAATGAAGTTTATAACTTAAACATTAAAAAATGATTAAATGTTTCCTCTTTTAATATTCTGTAGGCATTTATGGAGCACAATTCTGAGGCAGGTACGGGCTAGGTACTGAAGCTTTGCAGGAACATGTCAGTAAAGAGGCAATCAGGATGCAAAATGGTGAGTACAGGTTTTCAGGAGAAGTATAGTAATCTCAGACCTGGGGGGATCAGAAGAGGTTTCTTGGAAGAAGTGAGGATTCAAGTGAGAGCTTAAGACTAGCAGGATTTAGCCAAACAAAAGTGAGAAGGGGTTTCAAGCAGATGAAAGAGACAACTTGGGCAAAGGCCTGGAGGAAAGAGAACACAGCACTAGCATACCCCAATTGGATCAACTTGTATAGCACCCAAATGCACATGCATCTGAACTTAAAGATCACAGCCTTGGGACGGCTCTTAAAGATGAACAGCAGACTGGACCACAAAGTGTGAGTAAGGAAAGATGAGGCTGTAAGCAAAGATGAACCAGCTAGGACCAGAGCACAAGGGCAGAGCATGAAGCCATCTTAGGAGTCTGGATGTTTTTCTATTTAAATAGAAAACTGCAGTTTTCAGAATGTGAGAGATAGTTTCTTTCAAGTCCACAGAAAAGGGGCTTACTTGGGCCACCTCGAGAGGCACTTGTTATTGGGAAGCAGTACATTTCTGTGATTAAGAGCCTGAATTTTTTACTCTGAGGTCAGTGTTTGAATCCAGCCTTCTTCACCTATGAGTTTATTTTATTTTAACTATGTAAATGATAGCAATGGAAGCAGCAATTTCACAGCCACTCAGGAAAGGCCAGGTGTTATGGAAACTGAATGCAGTTTAGGGACGAGAGCAATCCAAGGCAGCTAAAGAGGGCAGGTTGTCTTGATACTCCTTCAGCAGTGGGTATTTGTTAATCAACCACATCGGGATACCATCCAACATCCAATCAAACACCTTCTTTTCTACTGCAGTATTTCTCAAATCTGCAAATCTATTCAATTTCCGAAGAATATATTACTTCCTCTTGCTTTCATACTCTCTGCATTGACTATTTTTTACCTTCCCTTCTTTCTCAAGGCTCCAAAATCCCTATCCTACTACACTGAACCAAAGACCTCATATTTTATTGAACACATAGAGGCAATCAGATGCATATTCCCATACCTACCCACTACCAGCTCTAGCAATTTACATCTCTGTTTTCTGTCTTCCCCCTGTAGAGGGCTGAATCTATTTCTGGAACAATGGATATGAGTCTCTTAAAGTGTCTGTTGAGCATTCCAGTTTCATGGCCCACTCAAGACCTACAGAATTGGAATCATTGTTGACAAGCCAGTAATTGGCAGTTTGGAACAGCTACTCATACAATCCTTCGATTACTCATACTTCTTCATACTAACAATATCCTCTTTTTCATAATATAGTGTTACTCATCACCTATGCAATCTCTTGGCCTCTACATGCATATCTTTTTCAGAAAATTTTCCTCAAAAGATCACTAGCAAACAACTAATTATGATTAAGTGAAGTACAGTTTTTCATGTGTTCAACAAGATATGTATTTCATCAATTCAAGAATGCATTTTAAAAGCACATTTTATTTTCTCGAAAGCCAAGTTTTTTATAATCAAAAGAAATTAGTATTGCACAATAGTTTAATTTGCAGTGTTTTTACTTTCTTGGTGGTGCATAACCGAATACTGCATCCTACAATTGATCACATCTTAGATTTCAGTGAAATGTGGTTTTTATGGGCTAGGTAGTGTGATGGACTTCTGGAAAGATAAGAGGAGAGGGAAACATGGGGTTTCTACTGGAGGAAATGAATAGTAAACAAGCAAATAAACAAGACAGATTGTAACCTGTGTTATGAATGAACTACACATCATGGAAGCAATCTCTAAGGAAATGACAACCTGAGTTGAGAACTGAAAGGCCTGTTATGCAGAGAACATGGGGAAGAGACAGCAAACAAAGGAAACAAGAACATTGGCTCCAGTCAGAAGGTGTCTGATTTGCCTCTGCTCAGAGCACACAACTCAGTGACAAAAATATATACTAAAGGAGGGAGAGAACAGTATGAGATGAAGTTGGAGAGTTAGGCAGAAGACAGATCACATGGGCCTTGTTGGCCATGGTAAAAAGTCTGTATTATATAAAGACAATACAAATCACTGGTTTTATGAGGAGGACTGACATGCTCTTCTTGGAGAACAGACTGCAGAGGAATAAAAGTGAAGGTTGGGAGAATTCTGGAAGTCTGGATTCAATGGCTCTTCCCACAAGTGATGTCTAGCTGTTACAGGCAGTAGATGATAGATGACTGAGAGGTAACAAGATACAGGGTGTATTTTGGAAGTGGAATCAATGAGATTTTTTTAAATTGACAAAAATTTTATGTATTTATGGTATACAACATGATGTTTTAATATATATGTACAGATCAATATATATTAATCAAGCTAATTAATAAATGCATTGCTTCACTGCTCATTTTCAACAGAAGTCAGAACAAAGATCATTAATAGGAGTGGTGAGAGAGAGCATCCTTGTCTTGTGCCAGTTTTCAAAGGGAATGTTTCCAGCTTTTGTCCATTCAGTATGATATTGGCTATGGGTTTGTCATAAACAGCTCTTATTATTTTGAGATATATTCCATCAATACCTAATTTATTGAGAGTTAACATGAAGGAATGTTGAATTTTATCGAAGGCCTTTTCTGCATCTATTGAGATAATCATGTAGTTTTTGTCACTGATTCTGTTTATGTGATTATGATTACATAATGTTTATTGATTTGCATATGTTGAATCAGTCTTGCATCCCAGGGATGAAGCCGACTTGATCGTGGTGGATAAGCTTTTTGATGTGCTGCTGGATTTGGTTTGCCAGTATTTTATTGATGATTTTCGCTTCAATGTTCATGAGGGATTTTGGCCTGAAGTTTTCTTTTTTTGTTGTATCTCTGCCAGGTTTTGGAATCAGGATGATGCTGGCATCATAAAATGAGTTACGGAGGAGTCCCTCCTTTTCAATTGTTTGGAATAGTTTCAGAAGGAATGATATTAGCTCCTCTGTACCTCTGGTAGAATTCAGCAGTGAATCCATCTGGTCCTGGGCATTTTTTGGGTGGTAGGCTATTAATTACTGCCTCAATTTCAGAACTTGTTATTGGTCTATTCAGGGATTCAACTTCTTCCTGGTTTAGTCTTGGGAGGGTGTATGTGTCCAGGGATTTATCCATTTCTTCTAGATTTTCTGGTTTATTTGTGTAGAGGTGTTATAGTATTCTCTGATGGTAGTTTCTATTGCTGTGGGATCCGTGGTGATATCCCCATTATCATTTTTATTGTGTCTATTTGATTCTCCTCTATTTTCTTCTTTATTAGTCTAGCTAGTGGTCTATCTATTTTGTTAATTTTTTCAAAAACACAGCTCCTGGATTCATTGATTTTTTTGAAGGTTTTTTCATGTCTCTATCTCCTTCAATTCTGCTCTGATCTTAGTTATTTTTTGTCTTCTGTTAGCTTTTGAATTTGTTTGCTCTTGCTTCTCTACAGTTGTGATGTTAGGGTGTTGATTTCAGATCTTTCCAGCTTTCTGATGTGGGCATTTAGTGCTCTAAATTTCCCTCTTAACATTGCTTTAGCTGTGTCCCAGAGATTCTGGTATGTTGTCTCTTTGTCCTTACTGGTTTCAAAGAACTTCTTCATTTCTGCCTTAATTTCGTTATTTACCCAGGAGTCATTCAGGAGCAGGTTGTTCAATTTCTATGTGGTTGTGTGGTTTTGAGTGAGTTTCTTAATCCTAAATTTTAATTTGATTGCACTGTAGTCTGAGAGACTGTCTGTTATGATTTCAGTTCTTTTGCATTTGCTGAGGAGTGTTTTACTTCCATTTATGTGGTTGATTTTAGAATAAGTGCCATGTGGCACTGAGACAAACGTATATTCTGTTAATTTAGGGTGGAGAGTTCTGTAGATGTCTATTAGGTCTACTTGATCCAGAGCTGAGTTCAAGTCCTCAATGTCCTTGTTAATTTTGTCTTGTTGATCTGTCTAATATTGAAAATGTGGTGTTAAAGTCTCCCATTATTATTGTGTGAGAGTCTAAGTCTCTTTGTAGGTCTCTAAGAACTCGTTTTATGAATCTGGGTGCTCCTGTATTGGGTGCATATATATTTAGGACAGTTAGCTCTTCTTGTTGTGTTGATCCCTTTACCACTATGTAATGCCCTTCTTTGTCTTTTTTGATCTTTGTTGGTTTAAGGTCTGTTTAATCAGAGACTAGGATTGCAACCCTTGCTTCGGTACATGTATCCTGGAACTTAAAGTAAAATTTTTTTAAAAAAGAAAAAAAAATGTGGTACATATGCACCATGGAATACTATGCAGCCATAAAAAGGAATGAGGCCATGTCCTTTACAGGGACATGGATGGAGCTGGAAGCTATTATCCTCAGCAAACTAAAGCAGGAACAGAAAACCAAACATCACATGTTCTCACTTACAAGTGGGAGTTGAACAACAAGAACACATGGACACAGCAGGGATGGGGGCAGGCGGGAACAACACACACTGTGGCTTGTCAGGGGATGGGGTGGAGGGAGGGAGAGCATTAGGAGAAACAGCTAATGCATGTGGGGCTTAGTACCCAGGTGATGGGTTGATAGTTGCAGCAAACCACCATGGCACACGTTTACCTATGCAACAAACCTACACATCCTGCATATGTATCACAGAACTTAAAAATTAAATTAGAAAAAAAGATCATTAATACACCCAAAAAAACTCATACCAAGCTCCTAACAATAGGATAGGTGATAGAAAAAGTCCATAGTATAAAGTGAATTAAGCCGTGAATCCTGCCTTCATAGACCTTGAGAATGTAGCAATTAAATTGGCATTGATAGTCTTCTAGCAAATTGGGATTTGTTGGTATTAATTCATTTAATATTTACCCAATAGTTTAAAAAACTTTTTATTAGGGATAATTAAAGTATATGTGAAGGTTGGCAGATGGGTATTATGAATCCTTAAATAGCCATCCTCTAGCTTACATTGTCAACTTAGAGCCAATCTTATTTCTTCTATACCCTGAATAATATGGCCCTCCCATGTTATTTTGAAGAAAATACCAGATATCATGTCATTTCATTCATAAATATTTCAGTATGGGGCTAAAAAATTAAGAAGTCTTTTTAAAACCATAACCATGATACCATATATCTACAAAAATGTCAATTTTTTAGTATCAAGTTAACATTCTAAATAACATGTCATCTAACTTCTGTTTACTGGATTTTATCTACTTAATGTACTTAAAGATATTTTGCTGCTCCGTGTGTAAAATGCTAATACAACTATTTATATCACTGAAAAAGATGCTGTTCAGTTTTTCTGAACAAAAACATTTCCATGCTTGAAAGGAAAAAATTGCTTAACTCTAAAGGAATCTACAAGGCATCATTAAGAGACACTATTATCCACTTAACGTTCAAGCTACATGGCTAATTTGCCACCTGGGAGAACTCAAAAGTAATTTAATGACTCAGGTGATGAAGACCTCTGGAAAAGTGGCAGACTAATTAATTAAACTCTCCAAAGAAAAGGACGGGAAAAAGTACAAATCTCAGGCCTCATTGCTCAATTTATCAAATGTGTAGTTTATGACTCTGATCATGGTTGTAAGTGTTGGTCATGATAGTTTACAAGGTGCTTTGGATTTTGCTCACTTGATACTAGGGAATTTCATATTTCCTCTGTTTTGAAAAATGGAAATATGTTAATATGGCAGAGAGAAGAGAATATTGCAACGAAAGCAGTAACAATAATCACAAAATATACATAGATCTACTACAAGCAAAGCACAGCTCCAGGTAGTTTGTGTGGATTAATTACTTTGAGGTGCACCATCAGGGCAGATTGATTTCAGACTCACTGATGTCCGCCTCACTTTACTCATCAGTGATTATGGGAAGGTGCCTGCTCTACTGACACATACGGTTTTTTGTTTACTCAGCAGCAACTACAGGGCTTAGTGCTAGATGCCTTTGAATTTTTCTAAAAATGATTTAAAAAATCAAGCCAAAAATTCCAGAAATCTCTTGACTCTAAGCAAGATAAATACAGTACAAAGAAAACATTTAAGTACATCAAGTAAAAGTGATCAATACCAAACACACAGTAACAAGAAGCAACCAGAGAAAAAGGCATATTCCCAAGTAGAAAACTTCAGCCTCAAGTGCCTTGCTGGTAGTTTGTTGTTTAAAAGCTACTCCGTTTCTGGTATTTTGATACAACAGCCTGAATAGACTAATACTCTTGATCTAGAAAAATAAAGTTGTAAAACTTTTTCTGCCAGAAATAAGACTGATCATAGAGCTATAGGAATTACATTAGTGTGACAGTGGCACAAGGATAGATAATAGAACAATGGAACAGAAAAGAGAATAGAACAATACCACTTCCATATGAACACTACAGGGCAGTGGGCAGGACTTTTTTTTTTTTTCAATAAATTGTGCTGTTGGTTTAATATCCATTAAAAAAATCAGTCTTGAAGAATCGCCACCCTGTCTTTCACAATGGTTGAACTAATTTACACTCCCACCAACAGTGTAAAAGCATTCCTATTTCTCCACTTCCTCTCCATCTGTTATTTCCTGCTTTATAATAAATAATAAATAATATATAATAAATATAATAAATAATAAATAATAAAAGCATCTGTTATTTCCTGGCTTTTTAATCGCCATTCTAAGTGGCATGAGATGGTATCTCATTGTGGTTTTGATTTGCATTTCTCTAATGACCAGCGATGATGAGCATTTTTTCATGTTTGTTAGCTGCATAAATGTTTTCTTTTGAGAAGTGTCTGTTCATATCCTTCATCCACTTTTTGATGTTTTTTTTCTTGTAAATATGTTTACGTTACTTGTAGATTCTGGATATTAGCCCCTTGTCAGATGGATAGATTGCAAAAATTTTCTCCCACTCTGTAGGCTGCCTGTTCACTCTGATGATAGTTTCTTTTGCTGTGCAGAAGCTCTTTAGTTTAATTAGATCCCATTTGTCAACTTTGGCTTTTGTTGCGATTCCTTTTGGATCTGGAACCAGGAATACCATTTGACCCAGAAATCCCATTACTGGGTATATACCCAAAGGATTATAAATCATTCTACTATAAAGACACATGCACACGTATGTTTATTGCAGCACTATTCACAATAGCAAAGACTTGGAACCAACCCAAATGCCCATCAATGATAGACTGGATAAAGAAAATGTGGCATATATACAGCATAGAATACTATGCAGCCATAAAAAAGAATGAGTTCACGTCCTTTGCAGGGACATGGATGAAGCTGGAAACCATCATTCTCAGCAAACTAACACAGGAACAGTAAACCAAACACTGCATGTTCTCACTCATAAGTGGGAGTCGAACGATTAGAACACACGGACACAGGGAGGGGAACATCACACACCGAGGCCTGTCAGGGGGTAGGGGGCAAGGGGAGGGATAGCATTAGGAGAAATAACTATCGCATGCGGGGCTTAAAGCCTAGATGACGGGTTGATGGGTGCAGCAAACCACCATGGCACATGTATACCTATGTAACAATCCTGCACATTCTGCACATGTATCCCAGAACTTAAAATATAATAAAATAAATAAATAAAAGTAAAATTGAAAAAAAAAACTTCAACAGATGAGGAGCTGCAAACAAACAAACAAAAACAAAAAAACCCACAAATAAGTCTTGACTTTTAACTCAAACCAGGTAGACTGTAACTGTAAATATAAAAGGCGAATGAAAAAGCTTCTAAAGATAATCAAAAAGAACATCTTCATGACCTTGGGAAAGAGTAAGATTTCTTACACATGACATTAAAAAACCATAACATTTTGATAAACTGGATTGATTATAATTTAAATCTTTGTTTACCAATTAATATTTTTAAGAGAGAAGAAATGCAAACAAAAGTGTGAGAAGAGATTTGGAACACATGAATGACAAGTTTTGTATATCCAGAACATATAAAGAACTCCAAAGCAATGAGAAACATGCAGACAACAAACCCATAAGAAAAATAGTCTGTAAAGTATTTTATTTCTCCTTCACTTATGAAGCTTAGTTTGGCTGGATATGAAATTCTGGGTTGAAAATTCTTTTCTTTAAGAATGTTGAATATTGGCCCCCACTCTCTTCTGGCTTGTAGAGTTTCTGCCGAGAGAGAGCTATCTATGACAAACCCACAGCCAATATCATACTGAATGGGCAAAAACTGGAAGCATTCCCTTTGAAAACTGGCACAAGACAGGGATGCCCTCTCTCACCACTCCTATTCAACATAGTGTTGGAAGTTCTGGCCAGGGCAATTAGGCAGGAGAAGGAAATAAAGGGTATTCAACTAGGAAAAGAGGAAGTCAAATTGTCCCTGTTTGCAGATGACATCATTGTATATCTAGAAAACCCCATTGTCTCTGCCCAAAATCTCCTTAAGCTGATAAGCAACTTCAGCAAAGTCTCAGGATACAAAATCAATGTACAAAAATCACAAGCATTCTTATACACCAATAACAGACAAACAGAGAGCCAAATCATGAGTGAACTCCCATTCACAATTGCTTCAAAGAGAATAAAATATTTAGGAATCCAACTTACAAGGGATGTGAAGGACCTCTTCAAGGAGAACTACAAACCACTGCTCAATGAAATAAAAGAGGATACAAACAAATGGAAGAACATTCCATGCTCATGGGTAGGAAGAATCAATATCGTGAAAATGGCCATACTGCCCAAGGTAATTTATAGATTCAGTTGCCATCCCCATCAAGCTACCAATGACTTTCTTCACAGAATTGGAAAAAACTACTTTAAAGTTCATATGGAACCAAAAAAGAGCCTGCATCGCCAAGCCAATCCTAAGCCAAAAGAACAAAGCTGGAGGCATCACGCTACCTGACTTCAAACTATACTACAAGGCTACAGTAACCAAAACAGCATGGTACTGGTACCAAAACAGAGATATAGATCAATGGAACAGAACAGAGCCCTCAGAAATAATGTCGCATATCTACAACTATCTGATCTTTGACAAACCTGACAAAAACAAGCAATGGGGAAAGGATTCCCTATTTAATAAATGGTGCTGGGAAAACTGGCTAGCCATATGGAGAAAGCTGAAACTGGATCCCTTCCTTACACCTTATACAAAAATTAATTCAAGATGAATGAAAGACTTAAATGTTAGACCTAAAACCATAAAAACCCTAGAACAAAACCTAGGCATTACCATTCAGGACATAGGCATGGGCAAAGACTTCATGTCTAAAACACCAAAAGCAATGGCAACAAAAGAAAAAATTGACAAATGGGCTCCAATTAAACTAAAGAGCTTCTGCACAGCAAAAGAAACTACCATCAGAATGAATAGGCAACCTACAAAATGGGAGAAAATTTTCGCAACCTACTCATCTGACAAAGGGCTAATATCCAGAATCTACAATGAACTCAAACAAATTTACAAGAAAAAAACAAACAACCCCATCAAAAAGTGGGCAAAGGATATGAACAGACACTTCTCAAAAGAAGACATTTATGCAGCCAAAAGACACATGAAAAAATGCTCATCATCACTGGCCATCAGAGAAATGCAAATCAAAACCACAATGAGATACCATCTCACACCACTTAGAATGGCAATCATTAAAAAGTCAGGAAACAACAGGTGCTGGAGAGGATGTGGAGAAATAGGAACACTTTTACACAGTTGGTGGGACTGTAAACTAGTTCAACCATTGTGGAAGTCAGTGTGGCGATTCCTCAGGGATCTTGAACTAGAAATACCATTTGACCCAGCCATCCCATTACTGGGTATATACCCAAAGGACTATAAATCATGCTGCTATAAAGACACATGCACACATATGTTTATTGCGGCACTATTCACAGTAGCAAAGACTTGGAACCAACCCAAATGTCCAACAATGATAGACTGGATTAAGAAAATGTGGCACATATACACCATGGAATACTATGCAGCCATAAAAAATGATGAGTTCATGTCCTTTGTAGGGACATGGATGAAATTGGAAATCATCATTCTCAGTAAACTATCACAAGGACAAAAAACCAAACACCGCATGTTCTCACTCATAGATGGGAACTGAACAATGAGAATACATGGATACAGGAAGGGGAACATCACACTCTGGGGACTGTTGTGGGGTGGGGGGAGGGGGGAGGGATAGCATTAGGAGATATACCTAATGCTAAATGACGAGTTAATGGGTGCAGCACACCAGCATGGCACATGTATACATATGTAACTAACCTGCACATTGTGCACATGTACCCTAAAACTTAAGTATAAAAAAAAAAAAAGAACACAGAATCTGTAGGCAAACAGATCTTAGTTGAAATCCAAACTCTGAAATGTATTAATTATATGGCCTTGGATATATTGAAAAAAGAAAAAAAAAGAAAAATAGTCGAGACTTTATGGGTACTTCACAAAAGACAATGTCCAAATGGCCAGTGAGCATATGAAAATGTATTCAACTTCATAAGTCATCAGGGAAAAGTACAATAAAACCACACTCACGTGTAATTTGGAAAGAGTTATCATAGTACTTAAAGGTTCCCCAAAACAATGTTTAATATTACAGTTAAAATAATAACTGTACAATTAATGAGATATTAATGTTTCATGAAACCAGTCCAAATGTACTTTTCTACAATCATCTTTTTTACATTACTTAAACTTTTCTTCCCTCCTTACTATCTGAATGTTCGTGCTCCCTTATCCTCTTATGCAAATTTTTAAATTTTTAATTCAGTTTTTAAAATAAGCTCAAAAATGATCATAGTTCATAAACCAAAAAGTATAAAGTAGACATACAATTATCTCTTACAACTGTCCTCTTTTCTCCATTCACCCCACAAAATGGTTGTCGTTTCCTTCCAGAAACTTTTAAAGTATATACATGAAATACAAATATACATATTTTGTCCTTTTTTAACTTAAATATTTAACCCAAATGTTAGCAAATAATATTCACCTAGCTTTCTTTACTTGACAAAATATTCTGGAGATAAGAAATATATATATATATTTATATATTTGGCATAAGTGTTTCCTAACTATGGTAGATATTAGATGCAGAACTGACAGTAAAACCAAATCTTTGCATTGGTCTTGACAATAAGACAGATTATTAAGAATTATGGGTATGGAGTTCTACCTATCAAAATTGAATTAGGAATTTTAAGTTTGTTTCTGAATACATTTGCTAGTCTCAGTTTCTATCCCATATCTTTGCACTAATGAATTATGGGTTTTCTCCTAACCCTCTTTACTGTGTAGTGGAGAAAGCAGCTGATATGGTTTGGCTGTGTCCCCACCCAAATCTCAACTTGAATTGTATTTCTCAGAATTCCTACTTGTGGGAGGGACCCAGGGGGAGGTAACTGAATCATGGGGGGCCGGTCTTTCCCATGCTATTCTTGTGATAATGAATAAGTCTCACGAGATCTGATGGGTTTCCACTTTTGCATCTTCCTCATTTTCTCTTGCTGCTGCCATGTAAGGAGTGCCTTTCACCTCCCACCATGATTCTGAGGCCTCCCCAGACATGCGGAACTGTAAGTCCAATTAAACCTCTTTTTCTTCCCAGTCTTGTGTATGTCTTTGTCAAAAGTGTGAAAATGGACTAATACAGTAAATTGGTACCAGTAGAGTGGGGCATTGCTGAAAAGATACCCGAAAATGTGGAACCAACTTTGGAACTAGGTAACAGGCAGAGGTTGGAACAGCTTGGAGGGCTCAGAAGAAGATAGGAAAATGTGGGAAAGTTTGGAACTTCCTAGAGACTAGCTGAATGGCTTTAATGAAAATGCTTATAGTGATATGAACAAGAAGGTCCAGGCTGAGGTGGTCTCAGATGGAGATGAGAAACTTGTTGGGAATTAGAGCAAAGGTGACTCTCATTATGATTCAGTGAAGAAACTGGCAGCTTTTTGCCCCTGCCCTAGAGATTTGTGGAACTGAAACTTTGAACTTGAGAGAGATGATTTAGAGTATCTGATGAAAAAAATTTCTAAGCAGCAAAGCATTTAAGAGTTGACTTGGGTGTTGTTAAAAGCATTCAGTTTTAAAAGGGAAACAGCGTAAATGTTTGGAAAATTTGAAGCCTGACAATGTGATAGAAAAGAAAAACCCATTTTCTACAGAAAAATTCAAGCCAGCTGCAGAAATTCACATACACAGCAAGAAGCCTAATGTTAATCCCCAAGATCATGAGTAAAATATCTCCAGGCCATGTCAGAGGCCTTCATCGCAGCTCCTAGCATCACAGGCCTGGAGGCGCTGGAGGAAAAAGTGGTTTCGTGGGCTGGGCCCACAGTCCCCAGGGTGTGTGCAGCTGAGGGACTTGGTGCCCTGTGTCCCAGCTGCTCCAGCCATGGCTGAAAGAGGCCAACATACAGCTCGGGCTGTGGCTTCAGAGGGTGGAAGCTCCAAACCTTGACAGCTTCCATGTGGTGTTCCGCGTGCATGTGCAAAGAAGTCAAGAACTGAGGTTTGGAAACCTCCACCTACATTTCAGAAGATGTAGGGAAACGCCCGGATGCCCAGGCAAAAGTGTGCTGCAGGGGCAGGGCCCTCATGTAGAACCTCTGCTAGGGCAGTGCGGGAGGAAAATGTGGGGTCGGAGACCCTACACAGTGTCCCTATTGGGGCACCGTCTAGTGGAGCTGCAAGAAGAGGGCCACTGTCCTCCAGACCCCAGAATGGTACATCCACCGACAGCTTGCACCGTGTGCCTGGAAAAGCCGCAGACACTCAATGCCAGCCCATGAAAACAGCCAGGAGGGAGACTGTACCCTGCAAAGCCACAGATGCAGAACTGCCCAAGACCATGGGAACCCACCTCTTGCATCAGCGTGACCTGGATATGAGACCTGGAATCAAAGGAGATCATTTTGGAACTTTAAAATTGGACTGCCCTACTGGATTTTGGACTTGCATGGGCGCTCTAAACCCTTTGTTTTGGCCTTTTGGCCAATAGCTCCCATTTGGAATGACTGTATTTACCCAATACCTGTATTCCCATTGTATCTAGGAAGTAACTAGCTTGCTTTTGATTTTACAGACTCTTAGGAGGAAGGGAGTTGCCTTGTCTCAGATGGGATTTTGGACTGTGGACTTTTGGGTTAATGCTGAAATGAGTTAAGACTTTGGGGGACTGTTGGGAAGGCATGACTGTTTTTGAAATGTGAGGACATGAGATTTAGAGGGGCCAGGGGCAGAATGATATGGTTTGGCTGTGCCCCCACTGAAATCTCAACCTGAATTGTATCTCTCAGAATTCCTACGTGTTGTGGGAGGGACCCAGGGGGAGGTAACTAAATCATGGAGGCTGGTCTTTCTCATGCTATTCTTGTGATAGTGAATAAGTCTCACAAGATCTGATGGGTTTATCAGGGGTTTCTGCTTTTGCTTCTTCTTCATTTTCTCTTGCTGCTGCCATGTAAGAAATGCCTTTCACCTCCCGCCATGATTCTGAGGCCTCCCCAGCCACGTGTAACTCTTAAGTCCAATTATACCTCTTTTTCTTCCCAGTCTCAGGTATGTCTTTGTCAGCAGCATGAAAACGGAGTAACAAAGCAGCTATGTCCCAAGTAAACTAAGCCCTATGGGAATCCCACCCTACACAGTGCTGTCGTCATCTCAGCTAATTCACAGATAGCAATGTTCCTTTTATGTAGCTGATTTCAAAAATTTTTTTTTATTCCAAAACTTTTCATCTTCAAAACTACTTAACAGATATAATGACAAGATCATTTCTTATGATAATAACTGCAAACCTGGAGGTAATCAACGTTTGACACTTTAAAAAATGCACGTTCTACATTTTTACCAACAACATTTACACTTCTCCCCCCTACAGAGTTTGGTCTTTCAAAATTGGCAAGTATCAATGCCTTCTTAGATGTTAAACCAAGTTAACATAGTTCTTTAACAGAAACTTCAACGGAGCCTTTTCATGCCAAAACAAAGTATCTTTGTGCACCATCCACCCAGTTCTACGAATGGTCTGTTCATTACCTGGAGTTTTTAGATTCAATAAAGAAAGAAATAATTTCCTCCTTCCTGGCTTCTATTCATTACTTCCAAATATAAAATGCTGTTTAGTGTAGAGGAACCATATTTTCCTTTATATCCCCCAGGAACTAAATCAAAGTGTATTTGAATATGAAAAAATAAAAGAATATATATGTTTTTAAAAAGCTGTCTTTGCTTTTGATGTTTAATACCTTCAAAATAGGGAGAAAACAAACTCATTCTAGGGGTATAAGTGTCTCTTAAAAATATTACTGGATTAGAGAGGTGTCCAAAAAAGACTTCCATGCTGAAAGAATATACTCCAAACTCTTACTGCAAAGTTTGTAATTAGGTTGAAAAGGGATTGGAATATTCAGTTTTAAATGTCTTGTTATTGAAAATACATTTTAGAGAATCCTGTTCTGCTTCAACTGAGCTTTCTAATTTCTTTGGGTAATTTCAATACAGTTAAAACTTCTTGATTTTGTTATTGGTCAACCAGGTAAATATTTTCTCACATGTTACAACTGAGATAGATCAAATATGAAGTTTGATTGAAATAATTCACTTAAGAAAACTAGCTAAGATAAAATATATAAAAAGGCAGTAAGACAGCACATCAGAAGACTTACATAAGCAGTAAAAAAAGCCCAGTGGAACACATCACAGTAATTTAACACAGTAAATAATAAGTAAAACTAAAAAAAAAACCTTATTTTAAAAAGCTCTTACACCATTCTCTTTTAAGTGAAACACAGGTACAAGTGTAAAAAGAGAATAATTGCATAATTTAAGCATTTTCATATAGTGCAATTTTGCATCAGTTATTATTTCCAGTTTTATTTTATGCTCTTTCCACTTTTTAAAACTGAATTATAATACATTTTGCCATAATATATATTCTAGAAACATATTTCTTTTGGAACTACACTAAATATATACAGTGAGAAACTCAGTGTAGTTCCAAAAGAAATTTTGCACTATATTCATTCAGTATAGTTCCAAAATATACACTGTATACACTATATACACTCAGTGTAGTTCCAAAAGAAATATATAATAGCCTAATAAAAAATGGGCAAAAGATTTGAATAGACATTTCTCAAAAGAAGACCTACAAATGGCAAACAGGCATATGAAAAGGTGCTCCTATCTTGGGGTCCTCAAATTATCTTTGTGTGTTGTTCACCTGTGCATTGTTGGGAGTACATACTCCCAGATTTTGTCATATATTTAAAGGGGTACTGAACCAAAAAAGGGGGATTAAGATAAACTAACAAACTATATCTGGCATTAAGAATAGGACACACAGGCAACCAAAGCAAACCTGGACAAATGGGATCACATTAAGTTAAAAAGCTTCTACACAGCAAAGATATAACCAACAAAGTGAAGAGACAACCCACAGAATGGGAGAAAGTATTTTCAAACTACTCCTCTGATAAGAAATTAATCACCAGAATATATAAGGAGTCCAAACAACCCTACAGGAAAAAATCTAATAATCTGATTAAAAAATGGGCAATGATTTGAATAAATGGTGAACAGGCATATGAAAAGATGCTCAACATCACTGATGTCAGAGAAATGCAAATCAAAACTACAAGAGATACCGTCTCACCCCAGTTAAAACAGCTTGTATCCAAAAGACAGGCAATAACAAATACTGGTGAGGATATGGAGAAAAGGGAACCTTTGTACACTTTTGGTGGGAATGTAAATTAGTACAACCACTATGGACAACAGTTTGGAGGTTCCTCAAAAAACTGAAAATTGAGCTACCATATGATCCAGCAATCCCACTGCTGGGTATATACCCAAAAGAGAGGAAGTCAGTATATTGAAGAGATCTCTACACTTCTGTTTGTTGCAGCTCTGTTTACAACAGCTAAGATTTCGAAGCAACCTAAGTGTCCATCAACAGACAAATGGTAAAGAAAATGTGGTACATATACACAATGGAGTACTATTCAGCCATAAAAAAGAATGACATCCTGTCACTTGCAACAATATGGAGGAAATTGCAGATTATTCTGTTAGGTGAAATAAGCCAGGCAAAGAAAGACAAACATTGCATGTTCTCACTTATTTCTGGGATCTAAAAATCACATCAATTGAACTCACGGACATAGAGAGTAGAAGGATGGTTACTAGAGGCTGGGAAGGGTAGTTGGGCATTGGCGGGGAGGTAGGGATGGTTAATGGGTACAAAAAAGCCCAGGAAGAATGAATAAGACCTACTATTTGATAGCACAATAGGATCACTACAGTCAATAATAACTTAATTGTGTATTTTAAAATAACTTAATGTAATTGGATTTTTTGTAACTCAAAGGATAAATACTTGAGGGGATGGATACCTCATTCTCCATGATGTGCTTATCTCACACTGCATGCTTACATCAAAACAGCTCATATATTCCATAAATATATACACCTACTATGTACCCACAAAAATGTTAAAAAATAGTTTAAAAAATTTAAAAAAGAATGGTACAAATTATGTCATGTTCATTCAACAAATATAATAAACATTAATATATTAATATTAATATTTACTGTATCCAAAACACAATTACTCTTTGCATGTGAAAATAATACTACTCTATAACTAGTATATCACAGTTCATTTTAATTTGTTTTCATTTTTTTCATCCAGTAAGGGAGATGATTTGGGCAGATTTCACACCCCACTTGTCTTCCACAGGGTCAAGAGTCACACAGGGAAGCAGTGCAATTCTTGCAGAGTTTAAGGACTGAATATGCAACCTTCCCTACCTAAAAAAAGCTGACTTGTATAGCACCTAACTGTGATTCCCTTTTTTTTTTCTCAGAGAAATGTTTTAAATACTTGTTTCAAAGTTATCTTCCCCAAAACAGGAATACCTTTTGTCATTCTTTCTACACAGAAATGTGGAGTACTGATGACACGTTTACGCTCTCAATGCTCTAAAGGCTTGAATTGTATCATCCTAGAAATTTATCCTATTATCACAATAAACTTAATGATAATGATGACGATGATGATGATAGCAGCAGCTAACATTTGTTGAGCGTTTAGTATGTGCCAGGCACTATTCTAAGCATTTTCCATTGATTAACCTCAGTTACTCCTGATAAAGACCCTACCAGGATCCCAAGTACAGAATTAGTTTGCCCAAGGTCACCCAGAAAGAAAGTACTAAAGCTTTAATTCAATGTTAGTCACTGGCAGAGCCTGGACACATTGCCACTGTGTCACTGCAGATGTCTACCCAGGTTTTGCAAAACTGGCTGCTTAGAATAATAATGCCATGTTGCTAGCGGCCACTGAGAATTCTTAAGTACTTCATCAAAGGCAGGTAATACATTTTTGGATGTGATACTTTGAAAAGTACAAGCAGTCTAACTTTCATCTCCCTCAGTGCTGTGGACAAGCAGATGGTCTCCACGATCATATGGGCTATCATCACTGAGCAGCAACCTTCTCTGGGACCCTCTGGGGTGCTTCTTTCTTACCCATGAACCATTTCACCTCCCTCTTCAAGGCCTTACTCTTAACTTTTCCTTTCAACTGACCAATATGCACACAGTCAAAAACTTCACCTTGTACTTGACAGAATAAAAATCCAACAGGATCAGCTGAGAACACCTTCAACTTTCTGTTCCCCACTCATAAGAGAGTACATTTGTAAATATCCCTTCCTTCCTTCCTTCCTTCCCTCCCTCCCTCCCTCCCTCCTTCCCTTCCTCCCTCCCTAGAACACCTTCAACTTTCTGTTCCCCACTCATAAGGGAGTACATTTGGAAATATCCCTCCCTTCTTTCCTCACTCCCTCCCTTCCTTAGAACACCTTCAACTTTCTGTTCCCCACTCATAAGGGAGTACATTTGGAAATATCCCTCCCTCCCTCCCTCCCTTCCTTCTTTTCTTCCTTCCTTCCTTCCTTCCTTTGGAAATATCCCTTCCTCCCTCCCTCCTCGGTAGAAAGCAGGACTTTGCAAAATTTCTAGGATGATTATTTCCACCTGCCTTGTCAGGAATCTCACCTCCCTCTGCTAACTTCAGACACTCAAACTGATAAGCATGCTCAAGTTTCTCCCACTATAAAAGCAAAAGAAAACAAAAAACTCGTTAGGATTGTGTGCCTTGGTCTCCAGTCCTTATCATCTGTCCATTTGCAGCCAAGCCAAATGAAAGATTATTTAATGTTCTTGTGTTCACGTCCACATTAAAAAACCCACTGCTATCTGTCTCACCTCCTCCTTGAAATGACTTTCAGTCATTCTCTACAAAATTATCAATCACCTTCTGGTTACTAAATGTCCATTTGAATCCTTACTTTACTGCCTCCTTTGCAACATCTGACACTGTTGAGTTCTGTTTCTTTCTTGACCTCTAGCACATCACATTCCTGATTTTCCTGACTTCTTTCTGTCCCCTGTATCCTCCTTTGTGGATTTTCCCTGCATCTATCCTTTAAGGCTTCCTGAGTCTCTGAGGTTGCATTTATAATGGATTGTTCTCATTGGTTAATCTTTCTGAGGGTTAGTTACTCTTCCACTCCCATGGTTTCAACTCCACATATATATACAGTGCAAGCTCCCACATGTTAAAACACCAGTCCAGATCTCTATACTAAGCTTCTGATATCTACGTTTAATTCCCTACTTGATGTCTTCAGTCAAATACCTCAAACTCAACAGTCTAAAAACAAACTCATCACTTCCCATGTCCCCCTGACTGCCCACTTTCATTTTTTTTTTTTTTTTTTTTTGAGACAGAGTCTTACCCTGTCACCCAGGCTGGAGTGCAGTGGCATGATCTTGGCTCACTGCGACCTCTGCCTCCCGGGCTCAAGAGATTCTCTCGTGCCTCAGCCTCCCGAGTAGCTGGGATTACAGGCATGCACCGCTATGTCTGGCTAATTTTTGGTATTTTAGTGGAGACAGGATTTTACTGTGTTGCTCAGGGTGGTCTCGAACTCCTGAGCTCAGGTGATCCGCCTGCCTCAGCCTCCCAAAGTGCTGGGATTACAGGCGTGCACCACCATGCCTGGCTAATTTTTGGTATTTTAGTGGAGATGGGATTTTACCGTGTTGCTCAGGGTGGTCTCGAACTCCTGAGCTCAGGTGATCCGCCTGCCTCAGCCTCCCAAAGTGCTGGGATTACAGGCGTGAGCCACCGTGCCTGGCCTCCTTCATGTTCCTTATCATGAAAATGGCACAGAAAGCAAAGTAATATCCCCTCCCGACTTTTCTTCTGCTTCCTCTCTCCCTCAACCATCAACAAAATCCTACTTTATTAATTCTTCAAACAATCATTTACATCTTTTGATCTCCAATGCTACTTAGTCCAGGCTTTGGAGTACTCTTTGTTTCATTTTGTTTACCTCACATATTTATTTATTTGCAGTGAAAGTACTTAAAATCTACTCTCTTGGCAATTTTCAAGTATACAATGCATTGTTACTAACTATAGTCACCATACTGTACAATAGGTTGCTTGAACTTATTCCTCCTAACAGAAATTTTGCATGTCTTGAACAACATCTCCTTAGTCCTTTTCCCCCCATGCCCATCCCCTGGTAACCAACATTCTGCTTTCTGCTTCTATGAGTTTGACTTTTTAAGATTCCATATATAAAGGGGGACCATGTGGCATTTGTCTTTCTGTGCCTGGTCTATCCTACTCAACGTAATGTCCTCCAGGTTCATCCATATTGCTGCAAATGACAGTATTTCCTTCTTTCTAAAGACTGATTAACATCCCATTGTTAAATATACTAGATATTCTTTATCCACTCATCTATCAATGGGCACTTAGGTGGTTTCCATATCTTGGCTATTGTGAACAGGGCACAATGAGCATGGGAGTACAGATATCTCTTCAACATACTAATTTCATTTCCTTGAGATATAGATGCAATAGTGAGATTCTGGATCATCTGGCAGTTCTATTTTAAGTTTTTTGAGGATCCTCCATACTGTCTTCTGTAATGGCTGTACTACTTTACATTCCCACCAACAGTATACAAGGGTGCCCTCTTCTCTGGAGCACTCTTTTTACAACACAAGTCTGATCATACAACTCCACTAATTAAAATACTTCAATAATGCCCTTGTGTTCAGGATAAAGTGAAAACTCCCTCCATGTGAAAATGTGACCACTTTTCTGGACTCCCTTTTGCCCCATTGCAGGCTATGCCTCAATCATATTTGATTTTGCCTCTGGGCTCCTCCGCATGCTTTTGTTCTACCCAGGACATACTTTACACATATTTTTCTTGCTTAAATCCTTCAGGTCTTACCTCAGACATCAAATTCTTTTGGAAGCCTTTTGTAATACCTCAAAACTGTATCAGGTGATCCTTAACAAGACTTGCTCCTGTAGCAACCTGTGCTTATTCCTGTCATTTTTACTTATCCTATTCTAGCAAAATTGTTTGTTTTCCCTATTATCCTATAAATTCTTTGAGGGCAGAAACTGTGCCTTGTTTATTCTGGCATCTCTAATACCTTGCTCACTAACCTGACATAAAGTAGGTGCTTAAGAAATAATTGTTGAAATTCAAAAAGAGGTTAATAGAGATAGTGTGAGGTTTTTCTAAATAGTGATCTCTAGCTACAGAAAACTCAAGGTCAAGCAGGGACATAGGTGACAAAGGAGAGCACCAGACCACTAGTCCAAGGGACATAAATTAAAGGGAAGGAAGTGTGATTGTGTATGTTTGTTTTGTCTAGCGTGTAATGTGTAATTGTAAGTAGAAAAATCAGCATCCTGTTCTGGACTATTTTAAGGGGTTCATGGGGTAGGGAGAGATGACAGCCAAATTGGCCTTGATCACTGGTTTATAAGAAGATAAAAATGTTCAGTCTTAACTACCAGGGCAGAGGCCACATGTAGGCCAGAAGCCCAGCCTCCCTTAAAGGAACAACCACACCCCTGGCTGGTTGCAGTTCAGCTGTTGCACTCAATGTGCTAATTGAAAGAAAAAGGGCAGAGATGTAGAGAAGGAAAACCTTTCTGGCCCTGTCAGCCTGCTCATCCTTCCTAGTCCAACTTCCCCAGAGTTTCCTAGGCTGCTCAGGTGAAAGAACATTAATTGTTACTTATTTTTGTTAATGTGTTAATTTTCAAAACTGTTACTGCCTATAATTTCACTGAATTCGTACTGTATATAATGGAGCTATATAAATTTTACATAACTGTTGAATAATCTCTTCATGTTTTGAGGGAGAATAGAAATGTATTTTCTCCTATAAACCAAATAGATCTGCTGTGGGCCTCACTTGTTAGAACCAGTAAGAAAACAGGCCAGGCATGGTGGTGCAGGCCTGTAATCCCAGCACTTTGGGAGGCCAAGGTAGGTGGTCACCTAAGGTAAGGAGTTCGAGAGCAGCCTGGCCAACATGGTGAAACCCCATCTCTACTAAAAATAACACAAATTAGCCAGGTGTGGTGGTGCATGCTTGTGATCCCAGCTACTTGGGAGGCTGAGGCAGGAGAATGGCTTGAACCTGGGAGGCAGAAGTTGCAGTGAGCTGAGATCATGCCAGTGCACTCCAGCCTGGGTGACAGAGTGAGACTCCATCTCAAAAAAAGGGGGGAAGGCATGGGAAAGTGTTTAATGACAATCCTGGGAATGGCTGTTCTTACTTATTGAAGAGCACAATGTCTGATCTTCCTAGTCAATTTTTCAGTTATACAGGGAAAGTAAGGTCACCTGTGTTTGTACAGCTGATAAATGACTTTATAAAGGAAACTGGGAAAACAGAAAAATGGGGAAAAAATCAGGCTTTGTCTTACCATCCTAATACTACCAATATCAACATTTTCATATAAGTCCTTGTAGAATATATTTATTCTACATGTACTCTGAATTCAACTTGGTAACTTGCTTTTCCATGTAACATAAGGTAAGCATTTTCTGGCCGGGTGCAGTGGCTCACGCCTGTAATCCCAGCACTTTGGGAGGCCGAGGTGGGTAGATCACGAGGTCAGGAGTTCAAGACCAGCCTGGCCAAGATGGTGAAACCCCGTCTCTACTAAAAATACAAAAAATTAGTCGGGCATGGTGGCAGGCACCTGTAATCCCAGCTACTTGGGAGGCTGAGGCAGAGAATTGCTTGAATCCGGGAGGTACAGGTTGCAGTGAGCCAAGATCGCGCCATTGCACTCCAGCCTTGGTGACAGACCAAGACTCCGTCTCAAAAAAAAAAAAAAAAGCTTTTTCCATGTTATTACTGTCTATAATCATTGTTTCTGAACATTGTATAATACTTCAGAGAGTAGAGGAACCACAGTTAAACTCCACATGGAGGCTGTCTCCAACTTAATGCTATTATAAATAATGTGGGATGAATAACTTTTGCATAAAGTTCATTCTGTGTTTCCTTAGGGTAGATTCCCAGAACTGAAAATACTGGGTTAAAGTATCTGATTATTGTGAGACTTTTAACACATATTGCCAAACTGCTTTCTAAAAGCCATGTTTATTTACGTTCCATGATAGTAATTACAACTTGCCATGATGAATTCTATCATTTAGAAAAATAAGCATACAAATGAAAAAATACAAAAACCCTCCAAAACTTTTGCCTTTAATTTGATAAGGAAAAATGGCAATATTATTATTTTAATGCTTGTGTGTATCTTACTAATTGTAAGCTTTAATATATGTTAGAGTATTTATTTGTTGTTTTCCCCTCTTCTGTGAATGTTCTAGGCATGTGTTGATCTGTAATAGTCCATACATAGTATACAGTATTCATGGAGATTATATAATATTCTATGTGAGGTAAAAATAGTTTCCAACAAGACAAGCCAAAGCAATACGCCTTTATCTAGAATCCTACCCGGAACAGATGTTTACTTGGCAGCCCAGCTGCAGTAATTAACATCAGAAAGCAGGGCAATTTAAAAAAAAAAAGGCAACAACAACCAGATCTCACATCCATGAATCATGGTTCTATAAAGTCCCAAACCATCTGGATGACTAGGCTCCAGCCCGTCATTCTGAGAAAGACCTGCATGATAGAAGTAAAAACTAGGCGGACTTGTGAATACCAAATGCTCACAGAATATTGTTTGTCTGCCTCTAAAATCATTTCACATTCTCTACCCTTTTAATAACAGATATTGATTTGTCTCAAGCCCTCTTTCTCTGGATCATATACTTCTCATAGGCACATACCACATTCTATTTGTCTTGGCATCTTAGGGAACACCAGGACCCTGCCCTGCATACAGTAAGCACTTAGTATTTGTTTGTTGAAATACACTAAAATAGAATAATCAAGACCTTGGCAGACATCTGAGCCCAAGCCAGCGGGTGTCTGCGAATTGCAATGGTAGCTGTTTATCATTCTCGTGAACAGCTCTGTCTGAAGTTCTGCTGAGGGTGGGAAGTCTGGCACAGGGAACTCACGCCAGCAGCACTGCATGGGAAAAGCGGCACCAAGAGAGACCAGCACCTGGCCCCTTGAGACAGGCTGGATGCCTTCACAGCACCTGGAGTCCCTCGCCCAGGGTTACTGGGCTCTTCTCCACAAAGCTGACTAAGCTAAGAGGCAAACAGCAACTTTAATCTGTTGGGCAAAAATGGCAACATGTTATTTTAATATAAATTATTTTAATAAAGGATTTTTTCACTCCCCCCCCACTGCAAAAAAGGGGACATCAAGCAAGAGAGCAGGCAACATGGAATCCAGGAGGCCAAGGGCTTCAGTGTTGGAGAAATGTAGCAGGCCTAGCACCAGTAAGTGTTGGAGAAAGACAGAGGGCACCAGACAGTGTGCCTGTAAGAAGGAAAAAAATGGAACTTGAGAAACTAAATTATTCGTCTAATTTGGTGGAAAATGATCTTTGGAGAGGTTTATAATTCAAGTGGAGAGTAAAAGGTAATAAGGGTTAAAAATTAATTTGTAATTAGTATAGAAAGCTAAAAAATAAAAAGGGGAAAATTTAGGTTTAGGAATGTAATAGTCATATAAGAATAACATATATATTGTTAGACTCAGCAATAAAAAGTGTTGCTTATATAGTCACAGTATTCTAAATGTAGATTATTAATTAACAAAAAACTGTATGATAGCTATCGAGAGGATGGATGGAGGTGGGTAAAATGGTAAGAAAGATAGCAGAGTTGTAAGTTCTAATCTTTTGTAATAGGAAGTCAATCTCTAATGTAGGAGCATAAGTATATTTGGAAACATTAAGGTAATACCAAAATAAATAGCTACGATTGAAAAACAGATGATGACAGGTGATTTTCAAAGGAAGGGATTTTCAAATGGTGTACAACCTCCTCGTGGAGGTGTCATGAAATCTGCATTTAAGAGAGATGCAGTAGGAAGCTAACTGGAAGATCTGTGAGCCAGCCTCATTGGCTAATTGCATCTCTGTGATCAGAGGCAAGCGGGCTTTTTTACTGGGAGATCAAATGTCCCAAGCAGCAGTAACCTAGGATCTTTTCCTTGGGGCTGTACACTTTCCCCAGAGAAGAATCCTCAAGTTTTATGCCTGGAGGTGTATGTCCAGCTGTTAGTGCTGGAACATGTGGCCAAATGGAGTCCGGGGAGACTTACCACCCTTTATATGGATTCTCCATAGATTCCCTACTTTCAGTATGGTGCATCTATATCACCACACTGCAGTACCTCCAGTGCACACCTCCAGTCTTCATTACTCTGGGAGAGGGGTAGTCACCTAGTCATGGTCAAGAGAGGTGAGGAGGGTAGCATTCCTCTTCCTTATTTAGGTTTTCAACTAGTCCTACTACCATCTTTACCAAAGACTTTCTGAGATTCACTGGTGCACACTAGCCTCTTTATTGTTGATATTCCTTTTTTAATCGTCTAAGTTAACAAACAGATTTGCTAAGTCAGTTTATCCATCTATCCTTTTTTTTCCCTAAAAATAAATCTGATTTCTGGTTCACTGTTGGCTTTTCCTTTTCTCTCACTGTCTTTGTGAGTTAAAGCTCAAGTTTTATAAATGCTAATGTGTTTGAAAAGTCTTCAACAAACACAAACAAGATGCTATGTTTTCATCAAAAATCTTGTGCTCAAAGAGAACTGTCCCTTAAATAAAATGAGATCATTCTGTTGCAAAACTAAAGCCAAATTCTGAAGAAAATACTAGAAATAATTCTGTTTTCTTGCTCAATACCAGTGCCCCCTGGATTTCCATTAGTCACCTGATCTTATAAAAATAAAGATAATTGTTAACTTTCCTCAAATGAAAGGGGGAAGGCTTAAGTAAGAAATTATTTAAAACACTGTACAAGATACAGATATAAAACAGTGGCATTATATGATTCTACACTACCTCTAATTAATGCTAATTTGAAAGTAAGGAGCCCTCATACCATGTCTCTATAAAAAACATACAACTTTTCTTAAACAATTCCATGTTACCCTACCACAAATTATTGAATAGCTAGTGTTAGAAATGGATAGTTGTTACACTTATAAAAACTTTAAGTCAATTGATTATGTGCTACTAGAAGACTGGATGTAACCAAAATATTTTAAACGCATCAGAAAATGTGATTCGTGAAAATATGTGGTACCCTCTTTTATAAAGTGAATTCTTTCCCTTAGTATTGGCAATGCTATGTTTCATTTTGACCTTTCACCACTGCATATGTTAACCCATTTATTATGCTATGCTTGTATCAGAATAACTACTGAACACAGTTTGAATAGAAAGATTAAAATGACTAGTGCCCACAATAAAAAAATACAGTCAGTTAATATGTAATTATAACCTTCCAAAGTTAATGGCATTTAAATATACATAATTAAGAAAGGAATTTAATCCCTATTTTAATGATAGGGTTATAAGACTTGAGCTTAAAGGCCTATAGAACAGATAATCCTAGTATCAAGTGCAGAGAAATGTGAACACTTCTCATAATAAGATTATCTATACAGAAGTCTTCTTTCCCCAAGATAGGTTATCCTTGTTATTTTAGCCATTCATACACTTGTTTTGTATAGCTAATTTATAATTCCACAGAACAACCTTAAAGCAGCTTGTGACAATAGAGACAAATAAAGCTACCAAAGATGGAGAAGGAACAGCTGCCAGTTCATCAAAGAGCTAATACTGCTGATTCAAAAACCTTGCTTAGGACAACTACCAATTAATCCCCACATTTAACAGTTTCCCAGTGAAAAGGCAAATGAAAAATACAATATGGTGTATAACTGTTTTTGTTCAATAAAGAAAAATATAGTAACTCATTGGGCAAGAGGAAGTTTTCCATGCATAAAATTCTAAGGAAATTCATATGACTATTTACATAAAGCATATTGAAAGGCAGTGTCATAAAAAGTTTTCAAAACATATTTTCATATGACCATGTCTTTTTAAAAATTTTAAGTTGTACTCACAGCTACGATTTACTGCAGCAAAAGGGAAAAGAAGCAAAGAGAAAAGGTGCATGGGGCCAAGTCCAGAGGAAACCATTCCTTTTCATGGCTACGTAGTATCCCATGGAAAATACACCATTATTTTTTATACACTTCCTTATTGATTCTAATTTCCAACTATTTCTTTTTTATTATGCTTTATGTGATACATGTGCAGAACGTGCAGGATTGTTGGATAGGTATACGCGTGCCATGGCCGTTTGCTGCACCCATCAACCCATCATCTATATTAGGTATTACCTAATGTTATTCCTCCCCTTGCCCCCCACCCCCTCACAGGCCCCGGTGTGTGATGTTCCCCTCCCTGTGTCCACGTGTTGTCATTGTTCAGCTCCCACTTATGAGTGAGAACAGGTGGTGTTTGGTTTTCTGTTCCTGTGTTAGTTTGCAGAGAATGATGTTTCCAGCTTCATCCTTTTTTTTATGGCTGCACAGTATTCCGTGGTGTTTATGTGCCACATTTTCTTTAAAAGAAAACTTACAAAGAGAACTTTCTAAAAACTTTCTAAAAACAGCAGTCCCAACCCTGTTAATACTTTTCTGCACAGATTCCATTAAAAATAATGGAGGGACCATTAAATAATGGACTAAAATAATGGAATGGTCAATAATGACCCATTACATTGATTTCATATACCATCAAAGAGTCATGGCTCAATTCAAAACACAGCTTTAGTATATCCCACCTTTTTAAAAAATCTATTGACAATGTATTCCCCTCAAGCTTCTGATGTTTTTCTCTTCTCTCCTTCACGGTAAAATTCGAGTGCTCTAAATTTTGTCTTTACTTTCTTGCCTACAATTAGGTGTTTAATTTTTTGAGAAATTTCTTAAAGCCTGGAAAAGTACAAAGAATAATGAAAGAACCATATGCCTCTAGCAGTTATTAAGTTGTTACGTTTGCTTACAGACTTCATCTATCCATTTATTGAAGTCTCTTTTAACCAGACCCTTTCCCCCTTATATTCTCATTTCTTCTTCTAGTTGGTATCCAGTGTCATTAGATTCGTGGGCTTCCTTATATTTTTATGTACCAGTGAATCCATTGACATAACAGTAGACACATACTGCTCTGTATTGTGCTTTCTTCACACATTTTTTAAGATCTACTTATGCTGGTGAACAAAAATTTAATTTTTTTTGCTGAAATGCTACATTATATTCTATCCTATGAATATACCATATTTTATTAATCTAATCTCTAATTGCTGGACTTTGAAGTTGTTTCCAAATGTTAGTTCTTAGAAATAGTACAGCAATGAATGCCCCTTTACATGTTACATATGTGTGTGAATTAGAAGTAAAATTCTTGAGTTTTGAGAAGTCATGTCTCTTTTTACATTACTATTTTCTTTCAGAGCATATGAAAATGTAGAAAATAGAGAAAATATACTGGATGTAGCAATACCAATATATATACAATTATAATGTATATATATTAAAACGTAAGTAAAATAGTGATCATACTCTACATACTATCATAACTTGGCATTTATGTTTATTAGATCATAACCGCTTTTCTTTTCTAAAATAGCTTAAAGTTCCTCCATATACAGGCATCCTACTATTTATGTAACTAATCTCTACCATTCAGCGTTTAGAGTTTTCCATGTTTTCTCTACTATATTGTAGTGATTAATATCCTAGTGTATTTGTTTGTGGGCATTTCTGATTATTTTCGTAGAAAAACTTATAAAATGTGCTGACTTTACAAGTACGAACTTTTAAAAAGATGTCTTACAAAACCAATATATAGCCATGTTTTTAAAATCAATACATCTAATGAAGATATATTTTACAGGGGTGTAAAGTAATAGAGTTTAGGTATATAGCTTTCTGAAGATGTGACTTCAAACTATATAATATGTTCCTTTGCTTTCTTTTCTGGAATATCAACTATTTTAGGTGACTTTCAGATAAAAACCAGATAGCATACACATTGGTATCAATGAAACTTCTAAGTGATTGCTAAGTGTTAGGTGGAAGTCTATATACTTCAGACATGAAGTAAGTAGCTAAATGGCAATGTTGCTGGCTTTCTGGGAAAATAAAAACACATATTTAAATATATTTACACAACACAGGACCAGTGCATCTCAGTGTACAGGTGGCCTGAAGAGGATTTTGAGCAGGGTCAACATGGTTTATTAGGAAGGGGCTTTGGGTTTGCTCAAAAGTTCAGTCAAGCACATGCATGACTGAGTCCCTAACAATACTACACTAAAGTACAAAAGAGATATCTTGACATTAAATGGTATTAATTTTTATTTTTAAAAATAACTTCCTTTCATCACAAAAATGAGTTCATGGGAAGATTGTATCCCAGGTAAATGAATGAATCACTGGGAGAAGGAAGTTTTCATACTATCAGAATGTTAAGACTCTAACCCATGAGAAAAGTTTGGTTTTAGTGTGTGTGATTTTGAACTGCTTCTGACCATAATTGGCTAAAAGATTCAGTTATCTCTGGAGGCTGATTACTCCAGCTACAGTGAGATGATGCAATCATCACAGAGATGGATTCATAGCTCATTTCCTGCATCAGAAAGGCATATACACTGTTTGAACAATAGCTGTACCAAATAACTTAATGATAACATTAAATAAGAGGAAAGCAGAGCTTGATATCAATTATAATTTGATTTTTCTCTCTGTAATTCAGTTTCCTCATCTACATATACCTCACAGAATTGTACCGAGGCTGTGGTGAGCTAATCCATGCAAGGCATTTAGAGTACAGCCTGGAATTTAGAGCAGTACAAACTCAATAACTGTGAGTGATTGCTATCACTATTTCCAAAATCTCTTCCCATCTACTCTATGGTGGTATTTTGATAAAGGCATGCAAGAGCTTTCAATCTATTCCAGGATCACTTGATTTAGTTAATGACCATCCATTCTGACCAACTCCAGGGAAAACAATGTAAATGGTGCTACCTGAGGTTGTCTAAGCAAACAGCATCCTCTGTATGTGTGTACACACTAGCCCTGAATGAAATCCAGAGTCAGTTCCCATTCAGAGAACAACAGGCAGACAAATAAAAATCTTAAATAAAATAAATTTCTTTTATAAACAGAGACAGGATGACAGTATAACTTGCACATGTAGTCAGCGGGGCATTATGTTTCTAGGATTTATGTTAACACATTTCATAAATTAATAAATAAGAACTGCTTTTATTGTTGCTGCTGTTACATGTCCTTTGCCTTAGAAACATCACTCAGTAGGTACATGACAGAAGAATGGGGATTTGGAAATAGATCTGCTAGACTAAAAATCTTGTGCTCTTTCTGGTTACCACTCAGTGAGATGACACAATGAATGACTGGGATGTAATTGATATATATGGAGTATTCTTGGTATTATATATCCATTTTCTCAGAATTCACATACTTCTCTTTTACTGTGCTATTTAACATGAATTAGATATGGTAGCTGAATACGAACTCTATAAGTCTTTACTAAAAGAAAACAGCCAAAGCTTTCAGACTACTTTTTTTTTTTTCCCAGACATATTCTGGCCTCAGGGCTGTGGTACCTGCTTGACCTTCTCCCTGGAAAGCTCCCCCTCTAGATGTTTCATGACTCATTTTCTTGCATCATTCAGGTCTCTTATGAACATCCCCTCATCAATGAACCGTTCCACGACCATGCTCTCAAAAACAGCACACACACACACACACACACACACACACACACACACATACACAAAACATGCAAGCACCTACCTTTCTTTTTGGCCTATTCCTACCCTTCCTCTTATGTTAGCTTTGTTTTTCTGGTAATATTAACCATTATCACCCCTGTCCTGTTATGTATATTTGTTTATTACCTGTTTCTTCTCACTAAATTATAATCTCCAAAAAACAGGGACTCATTTTGGTTAACTGCTATATCCCCAGAACCATGAACAGTTTATAATACATGAATAGGTGAATATATTGTTTCATACTGAAACAATGAAAAAAAATCAGAACTAAATGTCAATTATTTCAAGTATGTTTCAATTCTTTTCTTCTTATGGGCATTGAAGAAGAATCAAGATAGAAATGCTAACTTTCTGGAAATAAACATTTAATATTCTATATCTGAAAAACTACCCATGAAAAAGACTGGGTTGTTCAAAGATATTTTACTAGAAGTTCTGAAAATATACCTTCAATTTAAGGAGTTATGAAATAAGGATTTGAAAAGGAAGTGGAATATAGTGATCAAAACATAAGCATATAAATAAGAAATTCAAAGATGAACACAGATTTGCTAGCAAAGCCAAAAATCAAATCAAATTAAAGCATCACATCTACTTTATTCAAATATTAGTGACACTTGCACATTACAAAAGTAAAATATAACTTTAACTCCCAAGGCTGTCTGCTACCATATTATGCTAAGGAGCACCAAAGGAAAACATAGGAACAAATTCATGAAAATTCTGCATAGAATAAATTTCTGCAAAACACAAAACTAATGCTTTCTAAGAATATGTCAAATATTCTGGTTATAAATCCACCATTATCAATGAGGTTCACGTTAAATTATAATCATGCAAATATATTTTAAACAGAAGATCCAAAGTAGTATAAACAATTGTGAACCATTACCCAAAAATGGGTATATTCAGTGGGCATATATAAAATGGGTATACATAAAAACACACTGTAGACATGACGGAGTACCTTTAAAGTATCCATTGTACATATCTCAAATTCATCAGTAAATGTTAATTTGCAAAAACTATCCAAATTCTGTCATATAAGCTGTTCAAACTGAAACATAGTCATTCTGTTGTGCTTACCAGGATAGCTCTTAGCAATGCTTTCATTTTTAGTATTGTATATGCTATATTTTAAATATTTGGAAACATTTAAAGTGCTTCAATTCCTTCCTATTCCTTCATAGTTTTTTATTCCTTGGTAGTTTCTTATTGTTTCTTTTTAAGTATCTTTTTCTTTTGCGAGACTACATATCAAACTACCTCTGACTATCTCTTTCATTTAATCTAAGGCTTTTAATTAGATTCAGTATATATTTGTTCAATGAGTATCCTTTTAAAAGTAGAAAGTGGCTTTTGATTTTAAAGATGCATCTGGCCAGCCCCTCCTGGTGGGGACTCCAAATCACACTAAAATGCATATGAAGACAGAGGAAAGAGTCAAGAACTCAGCACCAAAAACTAGGGCTGGCAGTTATTATCTCACCGAGAAGAGTTTCTTTGAACATCACAGCTGATCAAAGTAGATACAGAGGAAAATGAGCAAAGAAAAGAAAAGTGAAATGCAATGAAAAGTAAAGAACTAGATGGGAAAATTCCATGAAAGAAATAATACTGGGTTCCTAGTAAATCATTTTTAAAAAAATTAAAGGTGACTTTTTTAGAACCTGACACTCCTTGCTCTCTCATATAAAACTATGGGATCTAATCCAATTAAAAATGTATCTACACTAATGTCAGTAGATGCTTTCAGACATTAACCGAGTGATTTTTTTCCAAGTAATTATATTTAAAAATTGTTAACAAGGCAAAAATAATAGATCAAGAAACTGAAAATCATGAGGTGAGATGAACAAAGTAGGGGGCTCTGGAATTGGAGCATGCTGGGTCTAAAACCCAATTGAACACGTATCTGGCCCAATAAGTGATTGTCTATCCTCGCTGAGCCTTCAGTTTCTGATTTTCCAGGTGAATATGATAATGCCAAATTTGTCAGGCTGTAATAAAAGAAGATGGCACCTGGCACATAGCAAATACATAATAAATGATGGCCATTATTATTACCTATATCATTGGAGGTGAGAGCCAATTACATGTAATATTTATTTGCTTTCAGTCTTTAGCTTTCTACTGTCCCTAAAGGTTAAAATTATTATGGAGTCAGCCTTAGACAAAACTTTAAAAGAAGAAAAACTTATCTTTGGAGTTCTTCTTCCTTCCCTTTTAACGGCTCCATTTCTTTTCTTAACATTCTTGGTACCCTATACCACCACCATACTACCTTCAAAACGATTGCTTTCCAAAGTGATGTAAGAAATCTAAAGAGTCAGTGCTAATGTGTCTGGCATGCTAGTGGCTTAGTGTGTCAACCTTCTCAGGTTATAACTGAATTCAACCCCGTCTTTTTGAAGGTACATCTTAACTGAAATTTTGAGTATTTAACTGCAGAATTTTAGGTACCGTGGTAGACCTGGGAGGGCTGGACTTTGGAGCTGGCAGACCTTAGATCATTCCTCAGCTCTCTCTGCTACACCCAGGCACAGCAGCATCAGGGAGACTACTAAATGCACATGAACCCCAGAGTCCTTGGTTTAACCTGTGGGTAATAGGGTAGTAGGCACAAAGAAGCAAAAAAGTACCCTTTCTGTAAATTTTGCCTAAAGCATTAAGTAGAATAGGTAGTTTATTAGTAAATTGTAAAGATCTATTTTTTTAACACAACGAACTATTTTTATTGCATAAAATAAACTTAAGCTTGTTTAAACTGAAGCACATTTAAACAAAACTTCCTGGAGATTTAATGTGAAACTGTTTGCATCAGAAGAAGTGGAAATTGGTATAGACATCCAAATCTGCCAAACACAATGCTCCTTTGAGCTATTTCATGAATTGCTTGTTTAGAAGAGAATTACAGTAAGGCAGATATCTTATTATAACTTCTTACATCAAGTCACTTCATGCATTATACCTAAAAAGCACATTATAATGAGAAGAATCAATTGAAACTAAAATTGAACATATTTGATCACTAATAAATGAGAATAAAATAGACAAAAACATGGTAAATTATTATACTCTGGCAATTCTTAAGAGGAAATAATTACCAGTCACACTGAGCAGCCCAGTATCTGCACCTTAACAACACTATCTTCATTCCTTTAGAGCAAAATACTGAACGAGCATAATGTAAGAAAACGTTCATTTCAGTTACATGAAATGGATCAAATGCAGAGAACAGGCAGTACACCCTGAAGATGCTGGCCAACTGCAGTCTTCTCTTCCCCTTTTCTCTGTGGAAGCCAAATCTGCTGTCTGAAGACCTGTCTGACCCTCAGATTTAGTAAAAAAAAAAAAAAAAGAATGCTAAGCTGTCTTCAATTCACATTAGCAAAAGGGAACAGAAAACGACAAGCATGAACCAAAAAACTATTTTCTGAAACTAGTCTAAAATAGCTGAAGCAATATGGGAATCTGAACATTTTTAAAGATTGTGTAATATAACATGGGTCAGGTTAACTGGAAATAAAATTGAGATGATATAAATAGTTTTTGCTGAAAGTTCTCCCAACGAATGTGCACGGAGATGGAATGCAGCTTGTCAGCAGTTTATCTCTGATACTAGTTAGGAGAGCAAAGCTTTGATATCTGTCTACGTTTTTAGAGGGATCATACAACAGAGGTTAAAAAAAATAGAAAGAAAAGGAAGGAAGGGCAGGAGGGAGAAAGGGAGGGAAAGGAAGGAAAAAAGAGCCTATAATTCTAATGCAATAGAATAGTCAGCTGCCAGGCACCAACATCCTATCATCATAATAAATGAGTACATTGATATAGCTCTTCATGGTAAATAGTCTCTGTTTTTCTTTTTTTTTTCTGCCTTCTTACATTCTTTCTAGAAAGAGATGGCACCATCTGAAAGAAAATCACTTATACTCAAGGAAAGTGAAAAAATCTACTCTTCCAGGCTCTATGTCTGTGAGAGGGCTTCACAGGAGGTGTTTTGAAGAGATTACAAGGGCTCCTGCAGCACAAATAAATGTGGCTTCTTCATCTATGTACTTTACCTTCATCCCTTTCTTGAACTGGTTTATGGGTGTGGATGAGAAGAGAACTAATTATACAACAGCTTTGATTCTCCTACTCTTTATCTTTACTCAAGTGCTGGCAATGGACCTATGAATATGAGAAGAGAAAAAATGGCAAAAGGTCAAAGAACAAATCCCTTTATACATACATTTCTAACACGTCTGTTCAGGAAAGCACATTCTATCTACTTCCTTGTTCTCTATGAACCAGTGATATAAAATTATATGTAATGAGGTATAAAATTACATGTAATAATATATCATTTTCAACCATTAAACCAGGGGAAACACATTTTATGATAACAATGCTACTGTCAGTATGGAGAAACTAATACTCACACGTTGCTGGTGGCATAGGAAAGTAATTTGGTGATTTCAGTTCAATATGGGGAATTGAGCTGATAAGGAAAATCTCTCCACCAGCTACACACACATAAAAGTATTAAACACAACATTTTTACTACCTAATTAAGCTTGAAACAAAGAGAAGGAAACCTACAGGGTTAAAAAAAAAAAAAAAAAAGGTAGCCCCTGGGAAAGGACCAGATAGATACAAGCTGGGGCTGAGGGCAATCAAAGGATGAGAAATGATACAGTCACAAGGAAATCTTGACCTGACCTGAATGCACAAAGCCACGGAAGGCTGCTACATTTGCAGGACTAATCAGCACTTTGTCAAGGGCACAAGACTTTTCATCAGCTTGACTGGGTGGAGAAAGAATCACTCCAAGAAGTTGGAAACCAAGGCCTGGACTGTGCTGATGACTGGGATATTCAAACTCGCAGTATGCATGCGATTCATGGACCCTGAGCAGAAAAGAGGTAGGATGGCAGGTCCAGGATTGGTTAATGCTTAACTTCTTTCTAAGTACAGAAGTCCCACTTCATCTATGGTTTTGCTTTCCATGATTTCACTTACTTGTGGTCAACTATGGTCCCAAAATAGGAGAGTACTACTGTAAGATATTTTGAGAGAGACCACATTCACATAACTTTTTTTTTTTTTGAGACAGAGTCTTATTCTGTCACCCAGGCTGGAGTGCAGTGGTTCCATCTCAGCTCAGTGCAAGCTCCGCCCCCTGGGTTCACGCCATTCTCCTGCCTCAGCCTCCCAAGTAGCTGGGACTATAGGTGCCTGCCACCAGGCCCAGCTAATTTTTTGTATTTTTAGTAGAGACGGGGTTTCACCATGTCAGCCGGGATGGTCTTGATCTACTGACCTCGTGATCCACCCGCCTCGGCCTCCCAAAGTGCTGGGATTACAGGCATGAGCCACCAGGCCCGGCCACATAAATTTTATTATAGCATATTTTTACAACTTTTAAATTTTATTAGTAGTTATTGATCTCTTATTCTGCCTGATTTATAAATTACACTTTATAAGAGGTATATATGTATTAAAAAATAGTATATATAGTGTTCAGTACTATCCATGATTTTAGGTATCCACTGGGAGTCTTGGAATGTATGCCCCCTACATAAAAGGTACTACTGTCTGGTTCTCTAACCTGAAGTATAAGGGATGTCTGTGGAAAATAATTAGTTTCCCCCCAGTAAGGATGACTATAAGACAGTGCAAACCACAGTTAAGAACAAGAAAACATGTTAGAAGCATTAGTCACCACAAACAAAAGATGTCTGCACCCCAAGCACTGAAGAAAACAGAACAAATGGGAAGATGCTTTAAAATAACTATGTTTAAAATGCTCAAAGTCAGCCAGGAGCAGTGGCTCATGCCTGTAATCCCAGCACTTTGGGAGGCTGAGGCAGGTGGATCACCTGAGGTCGGGAGTTTGAGACCAGCCTGACCAACATGGAGAAAACCTGTCTCCACTCAAAATACAAAAAATTAGCCGGGCTTGGTGGCGCATGCCTATAATCCCAGCTACTTGGGAGGCTGAGGCAGGAGAGTCGCTTGAACCCAGGAGGCAGAGGTTGCGGTGAGCCGAGATCGCACCACTGCACACCAGCCTGGGCAACAAGAGGGAAACTCCATCTCAAAAAAAAAAAAATGCTCAAAGTGAAAAAAAGAAGAATAGAAACCATTAGGCAAGAAGAAGGCTGCATGAAAAAATGATGTAAACAATACCAATTCTAGATAAGAAGCACATTCATTGAAATAATTCAATTGACAAGTTGATTTATAGACTAGATACAGCTGAAGACAAAATTTGTGAACTGGATAACAAATCTCAGAATTAATTGTCTAGAACTTTATTTACATACTTAATAATTACTGTAACAGAACAAATAAAAAACAGACAAAGCTATATACACAAAGATGTCTATCATGCATTCTTTTTTTCTTTTTTGAGATGGAGTTTTGCTCTTGTCACCCAGGCTAGAGCGCAATGGCGCGATCTCGGCTCATTGCAACCTCTGCCTCCTGGGTTCAAGTGATTCTCCTGCCTCAGCCTCCCGAGTAGTTGGGATTACAGGCACGCACCACCACACCCGGCTAATTTTTGTATTTTTAGTAGAGATGGGGTTTCACCATGTTGGCCAGGCTGGTCTTGAACTCCTGACCTCAGGTGATCCGCCCACCTTGGCCTCCCAAAGTGCTGGGATTACAGGCATGAGCCACCACACCCAGCCCATGCATTCAACTTTAATAGTAAAAATCAAAACTCAGAAATAATTTTTAATGTCCACTGATAGGAGACTATTAGGTTGTTATATATTTGCTCAGAATAGTATGCTTTCATTGAAATTAATTATGAAGTTTATGAAGCAAATTTGAAAATGTATGTTAAATAAATCTAAGTTTAAAAAAGCATGCTGTAAATTTCTGTGGAATAATTGTAACTATATAACATAATAGAAAAAATGAGTACAAGTAAAATAATATTATAATAGTAACTATGCTAGGAAAGTGAGATTAAACAATTTTAACTTTTCTATAGCCCTGTGGTTAGGAGTTGAGTATTATTAATCACCTGCATTGAACAACTCTTTTAATGGAAATTTCTCAGCTCCTGCATCACAGTTATAATGTGAATTTTGGAAACTCGAGTCAAAAGTTCATAACTTATTTTTCTTCATTTATTGCAACATAAACATCTCCAACATAAAGGGATACTCTACTTTTATGCTCCACTCTTCATTCACACTTTAACTGACAGAGTCACCTCCAAAAAGGCAGGAGTTCCTGGGAAGTATCCTCAAGCCTCTTATCATTTGCAGGAGCTATGGAAACAGTACAGACTTTGAAAGCACTTTCCTGGGCCTGGCAGCGTGCCTCAAAAACTATTTAATTAATTAACAGCCCATTACCAAGTTCTTATAACAAACACCTTTTCTGACCTATTCCTCAAGGCTGGCACAGTATAAATGATTTTTATCTGAATTTTAAATACTATTCTTAGAGTGTGACATAAATCAAGCCTGAATTTCCAGTATAAATAATAATAATTTCCCATAATTCCTAACTATGCTCTAATACCTTATGTTCTATACAAAACCATATTTAATTAAACAAGTCTATATTTGAAAGCTTTCTATTGCATACAGTTTTATCTAATAACAGAATAAATAACCACATGAAATCATATTTCGAATGTAATATGGTACATGAATTTCTAGCATTATATCTTAAAGATTCTTAAAAATTAAGTGCTCCTTCAAGATTTCAAAGGTATGGATTTAAGAAAAAAGTTCTTTCAAAAGATTTTCAAAGGAAACTTTAAAGAGCTGTTATAGGAAGCTTCAGTGATGACCAGTTGATGACTGAAAACCCAATCCAAACATACCTGTTTTTATCATGACTTTCCTGCAGAGATCAAGTTTATTCTCTTGCCTGCAAAATACAATGTCTTTCTGCTTTCTCATCATGATTAAAGAGTTTCACCTTGTACCCTTATGTTATGCAAGCCATATTTGTCTTTAAGTTGCAGAGTCAACATTTTGCACAGAATTTTTTATCCTTTGATGTCTCAATATGCTGATATTTCAGAGTGAAGAAGCTTTAGGCACTTTTCTGACTGACCTGAGACGCCAAGTTTGAGGCTGAGTTTACATCAGTCCTTTCCATAGTAGTTATAAACCTAACATACAGGCCTGTTATGGTTTGAACATCCCCTCTGAAGCTCATGTTGAAATTTAATTGCCATTGCAACATTATGAGGTGGGACTTTAAGAGGTGTTTAGGTCACGAGGGTTATGCCCTCATGAACAGATTAATGCTGTTATCCTGGGAGTTCTGCCCCCTTTCCCTTTCTGCCTGGCACCCTGGCTTGCCCTTCTATCATGGAATAACACAGCACAAAAGTCTTCACCAGATGCCAGCACCATACACTTGGACTTCCCATCCTCCAGAACCATAAGCCAAATCAATCTCTTTTCTTTATAAATTACCCAGTCTGTGGTATTCTGTTATAGCAGCAAAAAATGGACTAAGACAAGGCCTTTAGAAAGTGCCTTTATTTCCTTTTGTCAACTACTGAAAAAACCTGTATAGTTTGTGTAATTATTAATATAAAGTAGTGAGACTTTCTAAGAAACACACCAGAATTACACACGAGCTGTGGTTCTTGTCCTTTGTGCATATATTTAGGCATTTATAATTTTAACTTTCCCTTTCAACAACAAGTGAAACAGAGGATCATTTAAAAAGACTTAGGCCTTCACAGCACTTCACTAGAAGCCTTGTTCTTCTCCCAGTGATACTATCCCAACTTAGAACACTTCTGTACCTACCTTTGGAGGCAATTTCCTAGGCAGGGAAGAAAGTCATTCTCGTTATCTTTAATTTGCCAGACAGTTATTCTCCCCAGGGCTAGGATCTTCACTGTTCTGCTTATCTTCCCTCAACTTCCACCCTCATCCCTCTTACCATGTGATTCATCAGCCACAGGAAAACTATCTTGGCTAGACAGTGCTGGTACAATCCAAGGGTAAGGGCATAAGTAATGGCACTTAACTAGGATGGAGGAGAGAGAAAGTTGCACCTGATGCCAGCTGTTCTTGTGCCAGCCATTCCTGTTGACTGTGATTACTTTTGTGGTCACAATCAAACTGTAACTCAGTAACAGGGTAAGGATTAGATGTGTGCCCTACAACAAAAGGGGAAATATAACTGGCAAGCCCTGTTTTCTTTAATATAATTTAACATTTGTCTAATATTTCCTTTTAGATTTTATTTCAAAGCTGCCTCTAAGAAAGGCAACCTTATTTGATGGATGAATTTTAAAGAAAAAAACTGTAACCCCTCATTTAAAGAAAGATTAGAATTAAAAAGTCTAATCCAAAAAGTGTTTTAGGTGCAGATTTTTGCAGCACTTGACATCATTTGGCTACTGGACAACAAGCTTAAACACAGATGTTGATCAATTAGTTCTGAGTTCCCATAATAGGCCTTCCCTAACGTATCTGAACCTCAATTTCTCCTTCAAAACCACGTACCTAACAAGATTATGAGGACTACAAGACATAGCATATAAGAAGCTATGAGCTTCTTATGGTATGAGCTCTGATAATAGATAAAGACAATAAAAAAATCACATTGGGTTTTTCCTTTGCTATAACTACCTGTATTTTTAAAATTGACAAATAATTATATATACATATTTATAAGGTATAATGTGATATTTTAATATAGGTATATATTGTGGAATGATTAAATCAAGCTAATTAACAAATCCATCACCTTATATGTTTATGAATATTTAAAATCTACTCTTTCAGCAATTTTAAAATATAAATTAACTACAGTCACCATACTGTGCAGTGAATCTCTAAAGTTTATTCCTACAATCATCTTTGGATGACGATGATGATAATGATGTTGCTATCTAATAATTTCTGAGTATTTATTATGTAGTAGTTACTGTATCACCATTGTAACATGAAGACACTGAGGCTTAAGGAAGTTAACTAACTTTTCCAAGGTCACATACCAAAAACCAGCAGTGCTGGGATTTTAATCCCTATCAGTCTGACTCCAGAGCCAGTGTTATTTTCCACTATGATATGCTTACTTCATTATCTTATCAGTGATTGTACAACCATACAGCCTCTCGATTCTGCTAATCACTAAATCCTGTGATCCTATGTTGAAAATCAAATGTTAAATCTCTTCTACTCACCCATATATCTGATTTTTAGCCTCCCTTACAACTCTGAAGGTGAATAGGTATGTGTGTGTGTGTGTGTTTGTGTGCGTGTGTGTTTAAAATGACAAGGGCCTCACTACTTACTAAGGTAGGCCATTTAATCTTTGGCTACCACTATTATTACTAAATCAGTCCTTTTAATATGCAGCCAATTTTTTATACTTTCATTATTAGGATAATAACAAGATTTTCTGACTCCATAGCATCCTGGTTGCTCTGATTTACATGATATAATTGCCTTATGCTGTAGACCCAGAACTATTACAATATACCAAGTAGCCTCCTCTGCCTAATAAAGTCTGCAAGAGTCTCTCCTTCATCTAGCTATAATAGAACCAAATAGATTCCACAATACACAGTAAGTACTTAGTTACAAAAATAATGTAATGGGGAAAAGTTTCCATATAAGGGATATGAAGTTTGATAAGCCAGCACGAAAATCACACGGACACTATCAGAAAGCAGAAAGGAGGAGGGAGACCTAGCAAGACTTCAAACAGGAACATACGGGGCCAGCGTGACACTGACAATTAAAAGCAAGAAGAGGAAAACGGGGTGGCTGTGGTCGTAGATAATAAGGTTAAAAAAATTCTTTGGGGATGAAAGTCAAGGAAGGTATTCAGGTTGGAAGTAAATAAGGAAATGAAACCAAAACAAAGCATAGAGAAGCAAGCAATTCTCTAAGTCTCAAGGGAAGATGGGGATAGGGGCGTGCAGGGGGCACGACAGCATTTGGATACAGAAATGGAAGCAGAAGTAGGGCAGTAATTAAAAGTAACTTGGGCCAGTTAAAGACCATGAAGCTTGTGACGAGGAGGATTAGGAGGCTTGAGGTCATGGTTTCCTTAATCCACGAATGGGCACATTGTTCCGGTGCCTGGAAAGTGGCAGCTAAATTCCTCAGCAGCCACACAAGATTCCTCACACTCAGTAGCAACAGACCATACAGAAAGGCACTTCATTTAGAAGCTAACAACAAGACAAAGATGTCCTGGCTAGGCTCATCAAAGTAAGCCATTCTGGAGATTATTAGTCTCTCCAGTATTTTACTCTCTAACAATACCAAAATAATTCAATGCATACCATCCATTAGGAGTTTGGGGCTCATAAAAAGATCTGTAACTAAAGATCTTATTTCATATGGAGAATACAACAGCACCTAAAATACACGTGGAGAAATTATTTTAGTACACCCTGCCTAGATGGAAACAGTGATTCTAGAGGTCTGCCTGAGAATACTCCCTCATCTGTCAGGGAATAATTGATGGGAGTAACATTTGTTCTCCAGCTGCTATGCATTTTTTCACTTATCTTTGCTTTGAATCATTCCACTCAGCATTAGAAAATAATCATTTTGTTTCCCTCTCTCAGCACAAATAATACAAAATCAATGCAGTGATGCATGAAGGATTTCATTACAATGTGTTCCTATCACACAAGGGAGAAATCCTATACTTTGTTCAAAATTGCAAACTTAAAGGGAAAGACCAAGACAAGTGTGTGAACTCTGGATTAGTAAGCAATAATCCCTAATTTTAACAACTGTGATTCAAATTTAACTTTATATTTTATCACTAAAACGCCATACTGCTAGGAATTATCAGGAATAAGTTTACTTAATTATTTCAATTGTCACATTTTAATTACTAGTTGACAAAACATATCATTACGTCTTTATCTGCCATGTTATAAGACTGGTGGTAACATTAATACGGGATTCTCTGTGCCCCAGACTTCACTAGTTCCTTCATTCTACCGTTCTCGAATTAAGTCCAACAAATTTAGAGAAGACAACTCCATTTACTACTGACCTCAAAAGCATAGCCTCTAAGAATGGGGGCTGGGCAAGGGAGAACAAACACACAAAAACTGGTAACAAGAGAAAACACATTAAAAATACAAGAAAACTTACATAGAATTTCACATAAATACTAAATTCAGCATTCCCTAATATAACTAACTCCAATCTTCAAAAAACTTGACTTCTTTTATTTCCCTTGTAAGAAAAGCCTCATAAATCAGCAGTAGGTGGTATTAATCAATAGAAAAATCAAAGAACAATCTAAAAATTAATATTTTGCAAAATGCCAAATCAATAAGTAAAACATAATCTTTGAGCTGGTGATTGGATATTTCAGACTCTATATTCCAAGGTCATTTTAGAATGTTTTCACTATATGTAATTGAAAGACATTTCTCATACATCATACTTCCATACTTTTGAAATATCCATGGCATTACATATAAAAGAAAGAATAAAAAATCCCTGTGGTATGCATGCTATGCTTGAATTCTAGGGAGTAAAGCTTATTTTATTTTTAAAGAAATCTTTTTACTACAGTTATCCACTTAGGACTACCCCTTCCAGTAATACGGCACACTGCTAGACTATGAACTTAGTTGAAATAGGAATATGGAAAACTTCCTTAAAATGTAGGCATGTAGATACTCATGTATTTCAGCCAATATATTCAGATAAAATATATTCTAGGGTCTCTATTTCTCTAATATGCATACAAATCTGAAATGTACCATATTTTCCTAGAATACCTGATTAATGTGAGGATCAAAATTACCCTAGTAAATTATAAAATAATAAATATTTAAGGATGAATCAGTAGTTGTTTTCAAAAAATAATAATTTTTTCTTTATAGAATATTATATCATATAAAAATGGCTGAACAATTTACAACTATTGTCTGATATCTATAATGCCCCCTTACATTTACACATTGTGTATTATATATAACATATCATATAACATTATGTGTGTTTCTCAAAGTGTAACCTAATATACAGCAACTATCACTATAGTAAAAGAGTCTTGTTTTAATCAGCTTTAAGACAAATTTTTAAGTAATAATTCATGTTATAATACCATTCAACAGAATACATTTTTAGTTTCTAGAATCGCAAACAAACTAAAACACCAATTTAAATTCAAAATAATGGTACGATGTGGCAAGGTTTTATACTATTAATACTATTTGCCAAGCACTAAAAAAAAATAAACAGAGATGTAAATTCAGAAAGTAAATATTAAATAATGGGACTGCATTCCATAAGCCAAGGTTTCTCTAGCTTAAACAGAGATATAGCTTGAGAGAACTGAATCATTACAAGACCAGTGGCAGTAATCAGTACAATGCTCAGTTACACTAATTTAGTTTCAGCAAACAGCAGCAAAAACAACAATATTGTTCATTAAACTGATCTTGTCAATTTGTAAATAAGCTATTGGTGGTATAATTGTTCTGGGACCTTTTTCATATATTTATTTAATAGTTTAATAGCTGTTTATCTGTATAAGAGAAATAAGTAAGTATAAAGTATGTGAAAAGTACAACTGGATTTTTTTTTAACGTTACAATGCTAAGTCAACACCAGGGGTCCATGATAATTTTTTCCTTTAAAGGTTGTCTGAACATTTCTCAATGTTGAAAAATTCTGCTCCAAGCTTTTCAAAGCAGTTTTCATCATTTTATTTGATCCACAGAACAGCCCTAAGGCTCACCCTCACTTTCAAGATTAAGCAAATGTGGCACAGATAGATCACCTGGCTTGACTGTAGTTATACTTTAGGCTCTGGCAGAACTACAGTCTATGAGCCTAAAGTACAGTGCATTTTCTACAAGATCACACTAAACATAACAATGAGTTTGAACCACAATTTTAAAGCTTGAAAAAAAAAAGGTAAAGATCAATTGTATTTGCTCTTTTTCTAAAAGAAGTGGGAAAGATGAGAGAAGAGATACACTTACAGGAATTCACAAGACAGAAAGCATGCAGTGAAACTGGAGAAGGGATCTGCTGGGGAATCAGCTAAGGAAGAAATGAATCCCTGCCAGCTTGAAGTGCCAACTTCCTTGTGCACCTGCGGTTAGAAACTCATGACACGGGCAGATTAAAAATGGAATGACATTCCTACAAGAGGAAATTTAAAATGAAATATACCAAAGATCAGCCAGTCTCAGAACTGGACTAGGGGCCACTAGGCCTTGTTTGTCTTCAGTATAATACACAGTATGTTTTTCCTAGTATGCTTTTTAGAGGCACGAAGTCACCTTAAGAAAGAAGTTGTGTTTTATGTCAAATACTGCTATAAATCAACTGCAAGCTCTATACTATATGTAAAGGTATAATTACATGTATCTATTTTTGAAAACAAAAAGTGGCAACAAAAGGCACTTTTGAAGGAGTCAATTCCACATGTACTTTTTCAGGGCCTATTACATGTAAGGCATTGTTCTGGACCAAAGTGAGAATAGATTCCTTGCCCACTACATGTTTACAACCATACAGGTGCTTATAATCTTATGTTGACAAAATATTACTACACAATTTTTGTTTTTTGAGACAGAGTCTCGCTCTGTTGCCCAGGTTGGAGTGCAGTGGTGCGATGGCTCACTGCAGCCTCCCCCTCCCAGGTTCAAACGATTCTCCTGCCTGGGCCTCCTGAGTAGCTGGGACTACAGGTGCACGCCACCATGCTTCACTAGGTTTTTTGTATTTTTAGTTAGAGATGGGGTTTCATCATGTTGGCCAGGATGGTCTTGATCTCCTGACCTCATGATCCGCCCACCTTGGCCTCCCAAAGTGTTGCGACTACAGGTTTGAGCCACGGCACCTGGCCTTCTACACAGTTTTTAAATGTTATGACCAATATTAAAAAAATGTATATAGAAAAATGGTAGAGAAATTCTGAATTTTGGGATCATGGACAAAGTGAAGATGGAGATAAGCAGACAGATTTACATGAGGCTTTAGGAAAAGTTGAATTCGTCTTCACTTCCCCTTGTCCATATCCCACAGCAGTTTGTACCTCTGTTAGAGAATCTGAAATGGGGGAAAGGAGCTGAGGGAAGAAAAAAGGCAAATGTAAATGACATACAAGGTGAATCCATGGGATAGGAGAATAGAGGGGCAAAATGAGGGAAGTAAAGTGTGAAAAAATAAGGTAACGGAGATGATGAAGATTTGAGGCTACGTGACTGGGAGAATGAAAATGCCCAGAGCTGAGAATAGAAATGACTGGAACATGAAAGGATGAAGTGGTGAATGGTCTGGAAGAAATATTAAAAGTTTGCTCTGAACATATATAATCTGAGGCATCTGAGGAGCCATGTCAATTAGGAGATGCCCCTTGCTCACAATCAGAAAAGGAATGCCGGAGTCAGGCAGACATTCAGGATTCAACATGGAAATTTTGGAGTCACCGTCACATAAGAACAGGTAAGGACAGTTCAAGCGGTGGGATCAGTAAGGTCAAAGGGATACTACAGGATGAAAAAATTAAAAGCAAGGCAGATATTGGAGAAATACATTAAGTTAGTAGAGTCTAGAAAAGCCTTTGAGGGAGAGACAACTAAAGGTGAGAAAGTAAAGAAAACAAGCAAGGGAAAGTGTTCAGGGCTGTAGAGAGAGCGAGCAGATTAAAGATGCAGGATTTACCCTGAAACTAGTGTCCAGGTATCTCATCGCCACAGGCTGTTTCCAAGGACCTATGAATGTGCTCAATGCGTCAGATGTTTTTGCAGGAGTGAGAGATTTAACTGTAATTGGTTAAGACCCCTGTCACTTTCCACTCTGACTTGCCCTTCATCAATGTGTCTGCTGTCATTACTACAGCTATGAGTGAACATTTTTCGGATTTGCCTAAGAAGTATTTGAGATGGGAATATATTAACTCGAGTTGTGTGAACCTGTCTATGTGATTTACAGTCACTTTCGCATATGGTTAAGTAATTGGCAGAGCCCTAGGGTAGGAATGATTTCCAGGAATATCTTCCATCCTTTTGTGCTGACTTACCTGGAGTCATGACTTAAGCACCAGGATTGTAATACAACATGTTCTATAAAGCTCAGGGTGGGGAACATGCGAGTAGTGAAGCAGCCATACATGCAAATACATGGAGCCGTGAACTCTTCTATAGAAAAATCCTTTCAATCATCACACAGAACATTTTAAACAGAGGATTCTCTTTTCTATGCCTGGTCAAAACAGAAATTCTCTTCTCATCAGTTTAACAAATGAATACACACCGGACCAAAACAGAAAATAAATTCTTTTTTGACAGAAATGATGAAAAAATAGACTCTACCAGCACGTCCGTGTTTGTAGAACCTAAACTTGCAGGAGTGCTACAAACAAGTCTGTGTGAAGAGGAACATATTTTATGCATCTCCACTGTCAATACTAAACCATATTAAGATGATTTAAAGAAAATACGGATCATTTTTATACTCCAACTTTCAAAATTACATTACAAAATTTTCATTATACAAAGGTAATCAGGCTTTATATAGTAAAAAATAGATAAGTAATATAAAGATATACAAGGCAGTTAAGAGGAATGTTATATTTTAAAACTGCAATATTTGTAGTATTTGGTAGCTTTTAAAATTTGTAATTGTTGTGACTTATAGTCTCATTGTAATCATTTACTTTTGCATCTAACTTTATATTCATAACTTAGTCTTAAAGAGTATGCTCACACTGTATATGCTTCAGGTTACACAAAACTTGACTCTTCCCCTCATTATGAAGTTTGCCTTCAAGAGCCAATGTCAACAGAGCTGTGGGGACAGAATTCAGATTGCAATGGATTAAAGATAATTAAAACTCTTCATAAAAGACATCATAAAAATAGAAAAAGAAAACCATGAATTGGTAGAAGATATCCACAACACACATTTAACTAACAAAAGATTAGTATTGAGGGTATAAAAAATAGAACTCCTATCAATCAGTAAGAGACAACCCAAGAAACAGAAAAATGGGCTAAAGATAAGAAAAAGCACATCAGAGAAAACATAAATTATCTTCAAAAATTAAAAAAATCTTCAAAATTAAAAATCTTCAAAAATAAAAAAAGCTCAAGCTAATTATAAATGAGGGTAATGAACACACAAAATCATGAGATGTTTATTCATACCCTGCAGACTGGCAAAACACTTAAATATACGATGAAGTACTGTTGAGGTTATGGAGCAATGGGAACTTTCATCAGCTGTGGAGCGAGTATCAACTGGCACAACCACTTTGGAAAACAATTTGGCAATACCAAGCCAGGTTAAAGATTCATGGCCTTGTGAAGCAACAAAACCTTTCCCAGATTTAAAAAATCTGGAAAAATTCCTATACATGTACATAGTCTGTAAGAGAAATAGAAAAAAAAAACCCAGAAATATTCCAAATGTTTTTCTTTTCTTGATTCTTTTTCTTTTTTGAGACAAGAGTCTTGCTCATCACCCAGGCTGGAGTGCAATGACACGATCTCGGCTCACTGCAACCTCCACCTCCTGGGTTCACATGATTCTCCTAGCTCAGCTTCCCGAGTAGCTGGGATTACAGAAGTCCATCACCACGCCCAGCTAATTTTTGTAATTTTAGTAGAGATGGGGTTTTGCCATGTTGGTCAGGCTGGTCTCGAACTCCTGACCTCAGGTGATCCACCCACCTCGACCTCCCAAAGTGCTGGGATTACAGGCATGAGCCACAGCACCCGCCCTCCAAATGTTTTTCAATAGGCAAAGTGTAAGTAAATCGGGTTATATTCATACAACAAACTCCAAAACAACAATGAAAAATGAACAAATTGCTGTCTCATATAAAAGAATCTCAAAATGTTAACTTTGAATAAAGTAAAAGTCCTATAAAAAACATACAAAGAATGTTTTCATTTTTATAAAAGTGATTAAAAATGTGCACAACTAAGCAACAGTGTTTAGGGATGCATACATTTGTAATGAAACTAAATTAATAAATAATTCAATAAAATCCAGGACATTGTTTAGCTCTGAATCAGAGTGCACAGTGTGTTTTGGATGGCACCAGGATGGCCTTCAATATTGTTACTGTTCTATTTTTTATGTGAGCTTTCATTTTATTATTGTTTTTAAAACTATAACCATGTGTTATATTCTTTTGTATGTATAATATTTCACAAAATAAAATCTGTAAAAGAGATTAGAGGCAATAAAAGTACACTAACTTTTAATAAAATATGGATGAAGAAGGTGGTGGTATAAATAACTGACAAACCACAAACATCTCCCTACTCAAGGGTACAAATATAGTCAACAATGAGAAATAATCTTGTTTTAATTTTTCTTAATAGAACTATAAATTATCCTTAGGTTAATACTTGGATACGTAACATCCCATTTTTACACAATATTAGTAGCCTGAATTTACAAAGTTGTCTATTCCTGGATCATAAAAAATTCTCGTAGTATACCTCAACTTTCTCAGTACTATCTCTTTTAGATGGTAAGCTCCAAATCCCAGAGCCTGCCAACAGTCAGCCACGGAGCTATAAAATTCAGGCTCAAGTAACAGGTGTACAGTTTTTCAAGTATAATTCTTACTCCTAAAAAAGATGAAAGCATAGTTGGAAATATAATGCCATACAACTGCCTAAAGTAGCACTTACTAGCACAAAAGAAAACACTTGGGCAGCTCAGGATGTAGTAGTTTGAGGATATATACAAAAAGCAGGTTGTAGAAACTTTTGTATCTACCTAACATCATGCTAGTAACTAACTTTTTTTTCTCCAATTTGGGAGCAGCAAAGCAGCTGTGTATGGGAGAAAACAGATTCACACATCTGAAGTCAGAAGTCTGGACAGTCTTAGTTATTTCACTTACAAGTTTGTGAAGTCTACCATTCATGAGGCAACTGGAAATTTGAACACTGACTAGATATATAATGATATTAAGAAATGATTATTATTTAGGTGTAATTATGTCTCCGTTCAAAAGAATAAGTCCTCACTTTAGGGAGATACATACTGAAAGACTTGCAGATGAAATCACGTCAGGATTTTGCTTCAAAATAAGGAAGGGAAGGGGAAGTGAGTGGGAATAGATACGCAACAAAATAGTTCATAAGTCACTAATTGTTGTGGTTGTGTGACAGGCACATGGGGTTAGACTATTCTGCCTATATTTTAAAAATATGTTTAAACATTTATAAAACAAAAAGATACACACACATCCCTTATATACATATTTTTTTTTCTCTAGGCTAATATTTTAAAATTCCATTTTCTTCTAAACTTGCTTTTTCCTCTTCCTTCCATCATGACCCCTTCCCTCTTTCCAGTCCCTTCTCCACACTCCAGCCAGAGTAATTTGTTTTCTCAAATGCAAAATGTTGTTTCAATGACTTTCAATCACTGCCCACTACCTGCAGAATAAAGGCCTCAATTCCTTGTCATAGATTAATGGCTCGAATTCCCACTCACCTCTCCAGAGGATCTCCTGCTTCTACTGAGCCACTGCAATTCACTGAAGAAGTATGCTCTTTCAGCTGTGGCACTCTTAGCCCTGACACACTCTTTACGCAGCCCCTTCTTTATCTGGCTAACTCCTACTTACCCTTAGATCTCATCTGAGGCCTCACTATTCCTTACAAAACTCTCCCTGACAAACAGCTGGCCTACCCGGCCTTCCTATGTGCCGCCCAGCACCTGCACCTAGCTCTAATGTAGCACCTACTACACTGTAAGACAGGTGATTTTACTTATATATCTACCCGAATAGGCTACAATTCCCTGACTTAAAAACATGTCAGGTTCACCTTTGCACTGCCAAGATCTGGAATAGTGCGTGCCACAACTAGAAAGCCCTCAGTGAATATTTGCGCAACTGAGGAATGATCTTATTCTCTCATATTTCCTAAGCCTCTTCATCAAAGAAAGGAAAACCTAACCAAAGTTTGGTTAACAGATGGGCTAATGATAATAATTTTAGTGGAAAGGACGGGAGGGGAGGAGAAGATCTAATATTTACTTGTAATTACTATCTGCCAGTTATTGTTCTAGGCACTCTATTTATATTGTTCGCTTAGTCAGAAAACCCAAGATACTTGTAAAAATACAGATTCCTGGGACACATCCCAGAATTACTAAATCAGAATTTCTTGGGGCAAGACCTCAGGAATCTATTTTTTAATAGATGCCTCATGCGTTTCTGATAGTAAGTCAACTTTAGGCATAACTGGCCAGCAGTAGAGACCAAAAGAAAGTTCATATATCAAGTATATTTTACTATTTGAACTCAATTATTACAAAATGTTTTATTTGATTATGCTCTATAAATTTGCCAATAATACTACTATAGGCAAGAGCACTGACAGTTGTTTCTCAGTCTATAAAATGAACAAATATTCTATTACATTGGAAAATTTAGACAGCTTCATGGCAATGTCTTTTTCTGATATCTAAATGTAACATCATCAAAGACATAAATCGTTTTAGGTAAAAGATGAGTGGTCATCTGCATAAGCAACTAAGGATAAATTTATTAAATTTATTTAAAGTAAATTTATTACATTTACTAACTAGTAATTTATTAAAGTAATCCAATTACTTTACAATTAGAATTTGACAAAAAAAATCATTACAACAAAGAATGTTCTGCTAAAGAATTATTCTTTACAAAATTTGGAACAGAAAAATTCAATGTACTTTTATCATTCAAAAGATAGTACCATACTTTCCAAGATCAAATCCACATTCTGAAACAAAATGGAACAAGTCAATTTCAACAAGAAAAACCTCCCCTCTTCTCACTATTCTAAACTTTTATTATATAATACACTAGAACAAGCTAACCGAATCCAGTATCTTGCTATAGATGTTAGCAGAACAGCCATTACATCTACACAGCATTAGAAATATAAACCACAAACCAGCCTATGTCAAGTACATTCTTAAAATCAATGTTCTATAGCCTCTTAGTTTCTTATTTTCTCCTGCTTGACTATTATTTATCAAGTTTTCATTTGGGAATAGAAAACATGTTTTAATATATGTAGCTTTGTACAAAACCAGTATTTAAGGTTTCACCTAGTTTTATTAGGAAACATTATTCTAATTACAAAACATACCTTTGCGGTAAAAATGAATACATGTCCTACTTAAAATGTTAAAAGGAGTTATTCCTTAATATTTTAGAGCATTCTACAGCCTTGCTACTCAAAGTGTGATGCTGCAGGTCAGCATTACTGGCATTACTTTGTAGCTTGTTTGAATTGTAAAAGTATAGGCCCCATCTCAGGCTTAGTAAATCAGAATTTGCAATGTTAACAAGATCCCCAGGGCATTTATATGAGAAGGAATACTCTGTAATTTTCATAAATCATTTGAGTCCCCTGGGTTCAATATCAGTCATGGACTAATGACCTGTATGACCTTGGGGAATCCATGGGCCCAGGGCTGTCTAATAGAGCTTTCTGGTATGACAGAAAAGTGCTATACCTGAGTGGTCAAATACAGCAGCCACTGAACACAAGAGCCCTTAAAAGTTGCTACTAGGACTGAGGAACTAAATCTTTACTTAATTTTAATTTACATTTGAATAGTACCATGTGGCTATTAGCACAGGTTTAGAAACTATTTATAACATAAAATCCCTTCCAGCTCTAAAATCTTACAATTCTAGATATAGAAAAAATGATTTACAAAATTGTCTTCAAGATACTATTTAAAACAAATGTCTGTTGATCACCTACTACATGTCAAGCACTCAGGCCTCATGAATCAACAAAACCAAACAAAATTCTTATCCTCATGGCCTACAGCCTTGCGGGGAGAAAAAGACAACAAAAATGAATATAATAAATAAAACACATCATTATTAGAAGATAATAAAGCCATGAAAAAATACAGCAGATTAAACAAGGAAGAAGAATGCTGGTATGGGGGGGATGAGGGTTGGTAGCATGTATACATGGGTTGCTAAAAGAAGGCCACTAGGAGAAATTGATATTTGAGCACAGACTGGAAACAGATTAAGAGCTAGCCATGTAAATATTATGGGAAAGATGAACAGCTACTGGAAAGGTCCTAATGCAGACATGGGTTTGATGTGAGAAAGAGCAAAGAGTCCGAGAAGCTGGTTCTGAGTGAGCAATGGCAGGAGGAATAGAAAATGGAGTCAGAGAGGTCAGAAAGGAAACAGGGTGGGGGAACAGAGTCATGGATCACACAGGGAATTGCAGGCCACTGCAAGATCTTTGGCCTTTACTCTGAGGAGACATTGTAAAAGAGCAACATGTCAGGTCTTACATTTTTAAATGATCTCTCTGGCTTCACTGTGTCACCCAGGCTTTGCAGTGGTGTGATCTTGGCTCACTGCAACCTCAAAATCCTGGGGTCATGTGATCTTCCCACCTCCCTCTCGGGTAGCTAGGACTACAGGAATGAGCTACTGTGCCCAGCTAATTATTTATTTTTATTTTTGTAGAGATGGGGTCTTGCTTTGTTGCTCAGGCTGGTCTCGAACTCCTGGCCTCAAGTAATCCTCCCACCTCAGCCTCTCAAAGTGCTGGGATTACGGACGTAAGCCACCATGCCCAATTTGGCTTCACTCTTGAGATCACTCTACAAAGGTACTAGGGCAGGGAGAATAGTTAAGATTTTACTGCTAGATTCCTGGTGAGAATGATGGTGGCATGGTTCACAGTGGTAGCAGGGGAAATGGTGAGAAGTGGCTCAATTCTGGTTATATTTTAAAGGTAGATCTAACAATCACACATGAAAAATAAGAATGTGCTATGACAGAAAGAAGAGTCAGAGTTTATTCCAAAGTTCTGGTCTAAGCAACTGGAAAAATGGAATGGCCATCAACTGAAATGGTGAAAACTATAAATAAAACAGGTTTACAGGGAAATATAAAAGAACTGAGTTTTTGAGATGTCAAATTTGAGATATCTCTTATAAAATCAATTGCAGATATATTACATAGATGTATAAACAAGTCTGGAGTTCCATGAAACTGTCTGAGCTCGGGATATAAATTAGAAAGCCAGTGGCAGATACAGAATACTTACCAGAAATTGGATAAGATAATAAGAGTAGTGAGCATACATAGAGAAGATAAAAGGACCAAGACTTATAAGAGTTAAAACAAAAGTTAAGAAGTAATTCAGAAGGAGATTAATTAACAACAAATCATAAAATAAATATCCAGTGTGGAATGAAGAAAATGAAGACTATGGTGTCCTTGAAGTCAAGTGAAGAAAGTATTTCAAGGAGGATAGAGTGATAAATTGTGTCAGATACTTACAAAAGCAGTTACAGTGGAGAGGTAGAGGCAAAGCTTGATTGAAATGGGTTCAAGAGAAAATGGAAAGAAAGGAAATAAGAGATGGGAGTGGAGACAACTTTTGCAAAACATTATAAAGAAAGCACACAAGAGGAACACTAGCTGCAAGGAAAAATGGAGCCCTACAAGGGGGGTTTTGTTGTCTTTATTTTGTTGGTGTTTTTTTTTTCAAGCAGAGAACAATAACAGCTGGTTTGTATGCTAAGAAGAAAGATCCAATAAAGAGAAAAATCAATAATATAGGACAGAGTTCAGTAAATTATTTGGTCCATGGGCCACATCTAACCTGCTGCCTGTTTGGTACAGCCTACGACCTGTGAATGATTTCTACCTTTCTAAATGGTTAAATAGAAAAATGAAAAGAATAGTAATAATTGATAACATGAAAATTATATCAAATTTAAGTGTTTACAAATAAAGCTTTATTGGAACATAGCCATGCTCATCATTTATGCACTGTTTATGGCTGCTTTTGTGTGACAATGGCAGAGCTGAGTTGTGATGGAGATCATAGGTGACATTCTCATTGATTCCCACCATTGCTCAGTTCACTATGAATCACAGTGACAGTTAAAACTTGACAGCATTTGGAGTGCCATGCATATTACCTTACCATGACTCTTGCATTACTTTTCTCATTACTATTGCATACGTCAAAAGAAGAAAGAAGATAAATAAACTTCAAGTGTCATGCTTTGAAGGCACAATGGAGTGTGGATTATTTTGCTACGTAATTACATGGCAAATAACTTTGTTTATTATGCAGTGAGACTGTAGTTATACTAAAAGAATACAATACATGACAACATTACTAGCATAAGCGCTCATCAAAATATTGCCAACTAAAAGTAAAGTGACGGTTTAAAAAATAGTAAATTAAAAAAAAATTCCATCACACAGAACTTCACAAAATGTAAACATGCAAAATGAAGCTGCACCAAAGTAACTTTTCAAATGGCACATTTGTTAGACAAGCAAATTAAATTATATTGTAGCAGATATATGCTTATAAAAAAATAAACTGGTTTAAGACTATTAGCATTTTGGTGATACCCCTGTTCAAAGAGCTGCAAAACTTGGAAGCAACATTAACATGCAATTTAAAAACAAGGCAAATGATTTCAAGTTGTTTTCCTTGGCTCTTTACATGTCAACTGACATACAGATACGGCTTAACTGTTATTGTTTATTTGAGGAGTCAATGCTGAGTTTGAAGTGACCTGGAAAATCAGTCTCTATGAATGAACATTCTCTGTGGAATAACTATAGGCAAAGATTAAAGGTGTTAACGATTAAAGAACTTTAATTAGAGAAGTTTAAAGATTAAACAAATTGAGAAAACACAAATTCAGTACAATCTCAAGTAGAATCTGCTAAAATGTGTTAAAATGGATGGTGGCAAAAATGTAGGATAGAAAAAGGCTTAGTTTGACAAATTTAAAAAGCTAGTGAACATTTTGGGTTTTTAACGGTTGTGGTTATTCACTGTATTACTTATCAGCAGGTACTTTGTGAAAAATACTCAAATCTATCATGTGTTATTGAACCAACAGTGTCACTTATAAAATTCATTTGCTTTCATGGATTTAACAATCATTCTGTGAATTCTGTCATGAGTAGAAGCTGAATATCCTGATGTGCCTTAGCCAGTAATTTGATGAGTTAGCAGTCGTAAAGTTTTATTGCAGTATTTTGAGCTTAGGTTGAAACTTTTCAGAATACGAAAAACTGCCATAGACCATTTAATGCAGTGGTCCCCAACCTTTTTGGCACTAGGGACTGGTATCATGGAAGACAACTCTTCCATGGATGGGGGTCAGGGGTGATAGTTTTGGGATGAAACTGTTCCATTTCAGATCATCAGGCATTAGATTCTCATAAGGAGCGTGCAACCCAGATCCCTCGCATGTGCAGTTCACAATACAGTTAACACTCCCATGAGAATCTGATGCCTTCGCTGACCTGATAGGAGGCGGAGCTCAGGTGGTAATGCTCGCTCACCCGAGCATTATCTCCTCCTATGTGGCCTGGTTCCTAACAGTCCGGGGATTGATCCCTGGATTGGGGACACTTAATCTAACGGCTTTGGAAATTAGCTTTTGCTGCAGACTTTCTAATGTATGTTAATTAATCCAATCTAAAATCACAACAAACCGCAGAATGTACAAGTTAATATTGCAGTAAAATCATTGTAACAACTAATATTTGAATCACAAGATTCAAGTGTTGAGCTTCTATATCACCTTCTCATCCTGTCAAAAATTAAAATAAGAGCCAGGCAAGGTATAGTCCCAGCTATTCCACGGGTTGAGGCAGGAGGATCACTTGAGCCTAGCAGTTCAAAGCCAGCCTGGACAACATAGCCAGACTCTGTCTCTAAAAATAAGCAAATAATCATTTAAAAAAACAAGAAGCAAGATCTCCGTTTTCACACTAATTTGCAGTAGACACATTTTCTGAGCTCAATTTATGATTTCAACATTCCAACAGCATTTTTTGGACCTTGAAATTTCCTTATTTCAAAATCCATTTGTCAGTTACAAAAGACCACATATTGCATGATTCTGTTTATATAAAATGTCCAGGAAAAGCAATTCTATAGAAACAGAAACTAGATTCATGGTTTCTTAGGATGGGGATAGGAGGCCTGGGGTGAGGGCAGGGAATGATGAATAATGGGTATGGGATTTCTCTTAGGGGGAATAAAAAAAGTTTCAAAATTAGGTAGTGATACTGGTCTCATATCCTGTGAATATACAAAATAATAATTATACACTTTAAATATGTGAACTATACGATATGTGAAACATATTTCAATAAGGAATTTTTAAAAAATCCATTTGACTGTGCAACTGAGGAGCTTCCACCTAATTTTCAATTGGAAGTATTCTGCACTGTAATGAAATTCTAAAAGGCAAATATCAAGAGATGAATCTAAAGAATCGTATAAAAAACGTCCAAATTATGAATGTGCATACATGCTAGTAGACTAATATCTATATTCGGCAAAACCTGTATGTGTGAAAAGATGTTTTAAATATGAAATATGTAACATTTCAACACAGATCAGTACGACAGATGAATATTTACAATTAACACTGATGACAGGAAACATTAATGTTCAACCCCAGGCAAGCAAAACATTATCTCAAAAGAAATAATTCTATTATTTACATTAGTAAATCTATATTACAAATTTCAAGATACTTTATTATTACTAATACTATTATATTTTCAATTTTCTCAATAAAATATGTGGAAATTTGTCTTTTCTCTTGTATTACAAGTACCTACATAATATTCTTCATTTTGCCTCTTGGCCTACAAAACCTAAAATATGTACTGTCTGGCCTTTTACAGAAAATGTCTGCCAGCCTTTCACATAAGACAGGGAAGAGATAACCTTATAAAATTCTTTTGAATAAACACAAAAAGAAAGCTATTGCACCAATTATTGGTTTAATTCAACTTTTAAAAAGTCTATTTGAAATGATTAAGCATGATTACTAACATAAAGATAGGGCATACAATAATCAAAATACATTAAAGCAAAGGCTGAAGACAGCTGGAGGAAGGGATCAGATGGAAGCCATGCATTAGAGTATCTTTGTAAAAACCCAAAGGACAGCTTAAGATCAGTACTTGAATATGACATCAAAGGAAGTCTGTTGCCTGATGGTTGCCCTCCCTTTCTTCTAACCACAAAACTTTCTTGATGTGGGAGGAAAAGGGTCAACCTGACAATCACCAAAAAACAAGGTCACAAAAGAAGGTAAGGCATTTATAGAAATAGCAATCTTTGGCTTTGTAAATAGGAAAAGTTACAAATCAAGACTAATGCCAGCCTGGCAGAGAAAACAAATGCATTATTTATACTTGGAAGGGTAATTGAGGAATGCAATCTGAATTATACTCCTCTAATGGAGAAGATCATTTCTACCTTTGTGACATATCTAGAATTCATTTTAAAAGGCAATGAAAGAAATTAGCTTTCATGACCTATATCACCTCCCAAAGGCCCGCCTCATCTCTTAACACTATTGCATTGATGGCTGAGTTTCAACACATGAATTTTGGGAGGAAACAAACATTCAGATCTTTGCAGCACTTATTTGCCAAAAATCAAAGAAATACCAAAAAGTTGATTAATGTAACATAACCATGTTCACAACACCCCTTTATTAATAAATGTTAATATTTTATCATTCTGCTTCCTGGTTTTTTATATAAAAAGTACAACCTTAGAGATAAAGAATATAATTCCTTGCTACCTCTCTCTTCCTTCCCAGAGCTAGACATTCATAAATCTGATTTATGTTTTTTTTACTATACTATACACATTTCTCTGAACAATATATTGTGGCTTTATGTGTCCTTAAAATTCCACTGCTTTGAAACTGCTTTAATTCTGAAACTTGATCTTCTTTTCCTTAATATTGTATTTTCAATACATATATCATGTTAATATGTAGAGATTTAGTTAAAATTATGTGCAGTTGAATATTCTACTTTATTAATATATCAGAGTTCTCTCACACATTTCCTAATGATAGAAATTCACTTCCAAAATAACTAAGAGTATAATTGGATTATTTGTAACACAAAGAATAAATGCTTGAGTGGATGAATATACCATTTTCCATGATGTGATTATTAAGTATTACATGCCTGTATGAAAACATCTCATATAACCCATAAATATACATACCTATTATGTATCCGCAAAAATTAAAAATAAAAAGAGAAAAACAGAAATTTGTTCCCAATAATGTTGGAGTATATATTCTCATACACACATCTTACACAAGTGCAGGAGTTTTTCTGGGAACAAACAGTGTGTGAACATCCCTTTTTCCCCTATCCTAACCAGCACTTGGTACACACCAGACTTTTGGATCTTGCACTTTTAAGTGTGAGACACTATCTGGTTTTGCTGATTTAAATTATCCTATTAGTATGGATCATGTGACCTAAGAATGAGTATGAGCTTTTTTGTATACATTTATTGGCCATTAATGTCATTAAACTTTGCATTTCTTTTCTATTGGGTGCTTTGTCTTTTGCTTACTGATTTGTATGAGTTTGTATATACTATGGATAATAACCTTTTATGTCTTACATATATTATAAAACTATTTTCCCAGATGTGAATTGTCTTTTGTCTCAGTTTATAGTATCATTTTCCCCCTGCAGGAATTCTTTGCTTAGAGGGAATAAAGCTGAGTCATTTCCTTTCAGAGTTGTATTTCTCAGGTTCTAAGAAATATTTTTCCATACTAAGGTTATACAGACATCAGAAAATCAGTTCTACTAGTACACTTAAAATTTGATTACACATCTAGGTCTTTAACATATCTGGACTTCATTTCTCCATATGATGAGATTAAAAAAAACCTAATTTTTTATATGGAAAGCCTACCATCCTTGCACCTTTATTGAAATGTCCCCTCCCCTCCACTCTATTTTCTTTCTTTCTTTTTTTTTTTTTTTTTTTTGAGAAAGGGTCTCAGTCTGTTGTCCAGGCTGGAGGTGTGATCACAACGCACTGCAGCCTTGACCTCACAGTCTCAGGTGATTCCCACACCTCAAGTCTCCCTGGTAGCTGGGACTACAGGCATGCACCACCACACCTGGTTACTTTTTTGTATTTTTTGTACAGACAGGGTTTCTCTATGTTGCCCGGGTTGCTGTCGAACACTTGGGCTCAAATGATCCACCCACCTTGCCTTCCCAAAGTGCTGGAATTACAGGCGTGAGCCACTATGCCTGGCCACTCTATTTTATTGACTATAGCACAACCACAATTATATCCCAAGTTCCCATACACAAGTGGGTCTCATTATTAGCACTTTTCTCTGTTCCAGTAATTTGTTTGTACCTATAAAAATACAAAATGATTTAACTTATTGCTGTGGTGTGAATGTTTGCTTCTCCCTAAAATTCATGTAACACCAAAGGTGAATGGTATTAAGAAGTGGGGCTTTTGGGAGGTGATGGAGGGCTCTACCCTAATAAACAGGATAAATATCCTTACAAAAGAGGCTTCAGAGAGCTTGTGTTGCCCCTTCTGTCACGTGAGGATGCATAGAAGGTGCCATGCATGAGGAACAGGCCCTCACCAGACAGTGAATCTTCTGGTGCCTTGATGCTGAACTCTCAGCTTACAGAATTGTGAGCAATAAATTTCTGTCATTTATAAATTACCCAGTCTCAGTATTTTGTTGTAGCAGCACAGACTAAGACACTAACCCATTAAGTATCTTTTCCAAGAGTCTTATAGTTATTACAGGGCAAAGATTAAACCCAAATCATCTAACTCCAAGCCTCTTCCTACTGAGCCAGTAAGAAAATACTGCATTTGAAATATAGCCACAAAGCACCATAGGAAATTATCAATTAATTTCACTAGGGGTGAAAACATCGTTAGGTATCTCCCCCACACCCTTATGAAAGTGAAGCCTACCACAGAAGATGGAATAGAATGACTGGTATTAGTTTCAGTATTTAGTATCTACCTTTAATTATATAACCTGTAAGGTCCTTTTCATTAGTGACAAGTGAGGACATAAATCCACTAAACCATCACTCAGGCTCTAAATTCACATTTGTCCTGACCATATTTCACTCTCTACCTTAATCTTCTCATGTTTGTGTCCTCCTCTGTATACTAAATAAAGTACACAGTCGGAGTTCTATCCCACATCTTAGTTACCATGAAAACCAAATAATTACCAGAATCTGATTGTCTCTACATCACAAGACACAAAAGCCTTTTAAAACCAGTGGCTCTAAACCTTTTTGGGTAATGGTCCAAAGACTTAATAAATGTTATGGGCCCACTCATAAGATAAAAATTGATTTTACATAAAATTTCTGAGCATTTATGACCCTTCTGAAGACAATAAATAAATAAATAGACTCTCAAGTTAAGAACCTCTATTTGTGGTTGAGGGGGGAGCGTTGAAGAAGAAATATATAGAAAGCTTTTCCTTAAAACAAATTACTCTATGAAGTGATCCTTTTACTGTGACACCTATATGTGCTTCTTCCCTTTTCTTTCCCTTTCATGAACCAGCAGCAAACCTGCTAGCCAAGGAAAGATGAATGAATTCCCTTCACAGCTCTTCAATGTACTCATCAAAGGTAACACAGGTGAATAATGCAACCCCATTCCTATTCTTCTCACCAGGAAGTGAGTAAATTACTTTCACATACCATAAAGTCATCAACTTTTGACATATTTTACTTTATAAATGTATCAATTATATACCAAAGATGACTTGAGAAACCAGTGTTTGCATATCATCTAGAAACCAAATGCCTTTAGAGGGTAGGCACATAAAGCAATTGTTTATTAATACTTTGTTTTCAGGCAAGATCTAGCATAGACTCATATGTAAATATATTATTAATAAATGATCTATAAAACGGCAATGATTATAAGTTATTATGTAAAATGTGTTACTGAAACAAAATTCAATGCAGGAATCCTTTTTTTTTTGGAGGCTGGGGGTGGGGATTAGACTACAGAATTTTCCCATACGTGAGGTACCAATGACCACATTTTTGCTATAGAAAATATCCAAGTATCTGGAAAGTGAGATAAATATTGAAAAAGTATCTTGTATTACCCTATGAAATATCTTCTATTTTTCAGTAAAGTTGGTACTTTTGAGGAAAAATGCTAAACTGTCATGATTCAAAAATTAAATCCCATCACATTTACAGAGAAACTTCTTGCAAACATTGAATTTACTTTGAAGTGAGTTGATTCTTGACAGAAAGATGAATATGAGTGTGAAAGGAAAATAAATCTCAGGACCCCAAAAATCACTAAGCCAAGGGAAAAGTCAAGTTGGAAAGTACATCAGGCAAACCTTCTTTCCCTTTTATTCCTAAATAAGATAGCTACAAAAATAAAAAAGCTACATAGCTACATACCTCCCTCACAATTTGCCCACAAGGAAATTCCTTGTGGGCCTCAAGATCTTTTTTTTTTTTTTTTTTTTTGAGACAGAGTCTCGCTCTGTTGCCAGGATGGAGTGCAGCGGCGCGATCTCGGTTCATTGCAACCTCTGCCTCCCGGGTTCAAGTGGTTCTTCTGCCTCAGCCCCAGGAGCAGCTGGGACTACAGGTGCCCATAACCACGCCCGGCCAAATTTTTTTTTTTTTTTGTATTTTTAGTAGAGACAGGGTTTCACCACGTTCGCCAGGATGGTCTCTATCTCTTGACCTAGTGGTCTGCCTGCCTCGGCCTCCCAAAGTGCTGGGATTATAGGCATGAGTCACCGCCCTCGGCCAAGATCTTTACTCTATGTTAAACAGTTGTGTTGATTTTCACCCTGGCAATATATGATAGCGTATCTTCACAAGTCCAGGACAGAAAGTCATCTCTCTGCTCAGCTGAGGCAAATGCATATCTGATTGCTTTCTCTGCCTTGCTGTTTATGTAAAAAGGCAGATTCACTGAGCCAGACTAAATTGTATATTCAGTGAATGGCTGATCAAGGACTCAAAAGAATGTAATCTTTTGTCTCTTATCTACCTATGGCCTGAAAGTCACCGCCCCCCCAACCAAACCAATGTTTGGTCACATACTGATTGATGTCTCATGTCTTCCTAAAATGTATAAAAGCAAGCTGTACCCCGACCACCTTGGACACACTTATTGTCAGGACCTCCTGGGGATATGCCACAGTGCATCCTTAACTTCGCAAAATAAACTTTCTAAATTAACTGAAACCCGTCTCAGATATTTTGTGTTCACATGGGGAAAAATTCCAGTTAAATACCCTGTAAATAATTTAATGAGATATTACAAATTTAATGACTGTTTTAAACATAAAATATAAAATCAAATTTTTTAATTACTTTAATTTTTATCAATTTTTTCACAAACATTATAAACAGTATTCTTAAGCACCATATAGTGTCTGTGACTGCTCACACCATCTAATTTGAAAATATTTTAAATTGAGTAAATTACTGCTCCTTAAATTACATTTATCCAGATATGCAGAGAAAACTGAGAAATCAGTAATTAAACAAACGTACAGAGTTTATGTTCTTCTAAAATACAGACAACATGCACATGGAACATATCTATTTTAAAGACAAATACTTGAGGCTTTCTCATAAATTTTTTTAAAATCACACTGACATTTTACTACCTCCCACTGAAATACTACTGGTTTTATGATCAATATAGAGTGTAATTAGAGGGAAATTTCAGGACTCTATGAAATTAACAAATCAAAGTATGGAGGGAGGGGCAACTCAGTCATTCAGCATAAAATCAACAAAAAATCTTTGTTTAAGTTGTTACTTTATCACTCTACTCTAACCAAAAACAAAGAAAAGGACAGGCACGATCAAAACAGCTATTGTATGGTTAAGCCATGACCCCAAGGCCTTTGTCATTAAAGGTAGAGGATGTGGAACTTACACCAGAAGGGAACACTGTTATATAAAAAAAGAATTAGAAGGAAGAGAGGAATATGTGTAATTAAATAGGAATTAACTGGGGAAGCAAATGACTTATCCAAAACAATTCAACAAACTAAAAACAAGAACTAAATAGAATTACCAAAAAATTCCAATAACATTCTCTTAGAACTGAAGGTTGGCCAGTAAGACCTTTGTTATTTCTGGGAAGGGGAGGGTGGTAGGTAGTTCCTATTTGTTTTAAAAAGTAATGAAGATAAACTGCTGAGCATCAAATTAACGAAAGACTGAAAAAAAGCAAATTGCAAACTATTGAGAAGCAGAGGGTGGCTCAACGTTTTTGAAAAAACTGATTCTGACAATCAGTGAAATAATTATGGACATCTTCGCAAAAGATGTTTCCAAATTTTTTGGCCAGTGACTTTTTACATGTCTCTGAAACCAAACATTAAAAACAAACAAACAAAAAATCCCTTCGAGATGGGTAAAATATGAGAGAATCAAGTTGAACAGAGGCTAATCCTACGTTGCTTGAAAGATAAAAACTGCAGCTGATACACAGACTTGTAAAACCTAGCATGTCTCAATAGAAAGGCTGCAAGGACGTTCTGCTATACTAAAGACAATGCACTTCCAACACTTTTTAAAGGCAAAGATCCAGTAAGTGACAGGACATGAGACAGAGCCATCTCCACCACTTGTACACTAGTGCAAACCACTGTCACCTCTGACTACTGCAATTGCCTCCTAACCCATTTCCCTGCTTCTACTCTTGCCAACTCAACCCTTAAACACAATTCATTCTCCACACAGAAGCTAGAATCTTCTTAAAGCACTAATTGTCATGTTACAGCTCAAGCAAACTGTCCGAAGATTTACCATCATAGTTGAAATAAAGTATAATTTCCATGGAGGATCTATACTATCTGACCCTATTACCTTTGTAAGTCATCTCTTTCAGATTCCCCTCTGCTCTCTGTGCTGCTGCAACCTCATTGCCTCCTTCAGTTCTCAAAACATGCCATGCCTATGCCCACCCCAGGCTTTGCACACTTGCTCAGGTCCTTCTGCCTTTGGTGCTCTGCGCCACGCTGGTATCTTTGTTCTGCTGACTCTTGCTGTCACCATTCCGCTCTCATCTCTCTACCTGTATTTGCCACACTGCCTTTCTAAACCCCTTTCCAGTCATGGTCACTTGCACACCCTATTTCCACATGCTTGCTCACTTAGAGAGCTGCCCACGCCTAACTCCTTTCTCCTACCCTCCCTGTGCAGCAACAACCATTTTTCAGACAATAGCCAAGTTCTAACTTTTTCTACTCCTACAAAGACAGCTTTCTCTTCCTAGAACACCTTAAGTCAACAATCAGCATCACACAATTGATAATAACAAGAGACAGACAAATTTGTAGGCAGACAGGGTCAGGTCCTTGGTGAAACCCGACCTTCAAGCCAAGACAGCCTGAAGCCTGAAAACGAAACTGCCAGCTCTGGATAGAGTCAATGACCAGAGTGAGAACTTCTATCACCATCTTACACTCTCTCTCTCTATTGGTTTCTTCTGGATGATACCTGTTAGCCAATCAAATGGTGCTTTTTCCAAAGACCACCCATGGACCAATCAGCTTGCATTCCCCCATTCCAAGCCCATAAAAACCTTGGACTCAGCCACACAGGCAGAAAGGGGATCTGCTTTCAGGGTGCCCTGTCCGCTGACAGCTTTGCTTCTGTTGCTCAATAAAATTATTCTCTGCCTTACTCACTCTCTGGTGTCCATGTGTCCACGTACCTTATTCCTCTTGGTCAGGGGACAACAGCCCAGACTTGCCAAGCTGTGGGCAGTGAGAACAAATGAGCTGTAACCCTCTCATTCACTGAGCTGCAGGCACCAGGAATGAATGATCTGTAACCCTCCCTTCTGCCCACTGAGCTGTGGGCGACGAGAATAAAGGAGCTGCAGCACACTCCCGCTTGTCAGACTATGGGAAAAAGAAAGCTGTAACACGTTCCCACTCACTGAGCTATGGGATTGAAGAGCTGTAACATTTCTTGGGGACTCAGACCTTGGGACTCCACAAGCGAGAACTGTAACCCCCCTTGGGGCTCCACGACTGCTGGCATCTCTGAGTTATCAGGCACCACCGCATTCCCCTCATCTAGTTGCTGGCACCCAAGGTGGAAGCCGCTCACAGCATGCCTGGTTGATCCATGGGCTGAGCGCAGAGCCACGGTGGGCACAGGATCTGGTCTGGGGCACAAGCGGAATGCAGCCTGCCGGGCTAAGCAGGTGGAGCAAGCCCAGAAGTCCCTGAGCGAGGTCCAGGCAGAGGCAGCAGTGGCCAAAGAGATTTCTGACTGGTGAAGCAGCACAGAAGGAATCCTGTAACACAATTTATTCATATACATGGCCCCATATTTGCCTGGAGAGCTTTATTTTAACCTACTAAAGCTCTAAAGTTTCTAAGAAGCTGGACCATGGACTATTCTATAGGGACACATTGTTTATCTTTATCATAATGATTAGCATGGTGCTAAGCAAATATTTTGTGCTCAGTATTTTTTTAATGTTTGTATCATTTTATCTTTAACAGAATAAGAATACGCCAGCTCTCCTCCCTTTTGATTTTCTTAAACCAACTGTATACTAGAGAACAGATCTACCAAGGTTTGACCACAGTAAAAAGAAGGAAAGTCTTAGCCAGTGGAAGAAAAGATTTCTCTATGTAAAATCTCTGCAACTCCCTAATAACCTGAACATGTGCTTCAATTTGTTTTTTCAGAAGAGGTGATGAGATTAACAGTAATTCCTCCATCTTGTCTCAGTCACAGTCTTATGACCAGAAGCAGACACTTTATGATATGACTGTGCACGGTTAAGGGTAATTTATGGCCACAGGTCAGCATGTTGTTAATGAGGCTGTGAGGAGACTGCCTGCTTGACCTTGACCTCCTTACCACCCTAAGCAAACCAACAGAGCTCTGTCAAATCCATTTAGATTGTAATAAGCCAAAAGCATATTAGAACAGAGCAATCTAAATGCTCCCATGATTTTTTCAGCATCTTAATTTTAATACATGAATTAATGATATAAAACATTTTGCTGACACCAGTAATTGTGAAAGCATTGTTTTAGAACTGGCTTCATTATTTTATAATCTTTGTTCAGCATTTAGTGATCCTAAGCTTCAAAGGTCCATGTTCAATTTATTTTAATACTTTGTTTTAACAATTATTGTAACTGAAAAGACACCTCATACAGGCAAAGAGATGCACAAGTATGCACTGTTGCTTGTGCTTTCTAAATCATTATACTTACTTTGGTGTCTCATCTGTCAAGTATGCAAAGGTTGTGGCTGAAATTCAGCTAGTACATTTGTACTTTCCCTGATGTTAATCTGGCAACTAGTCAGAAAGTGTTAATGTTTTATATTATTTTTAAAAAGAGTTAATAACTCCCTCTGAAGCTCTTCATTTGGATGATTTTTAAGTAGGATGGAAAATTCTGATTCCAAGTTTTTAGTTTGTAGATATACTAGTGATTTTAAAGAGAAAAGCATGTATGAACAGTTTGTTTTAACAAATCTTGAGAACAAACAAAAAAACGAGCAAAGTATCAGGAAAAAATTACTATCCTTTCAGGGTTTTCCTGCTTAGCATTCCTTCTAAGCTTTCCCTTCATCTCGAAGGAAAAGCCTCCATGAGTCAAAAGGTGATATAATAAAAACTAAGAACAAAAGAAAGGTAAACCCAAGGGTTATCTATTCTGGTTGATTTAAGCTACACCTGAGGCCAGATACATTGGCTCACACCTGTAATCCCAGCACTTTGGGAGGCCCAGGCAGGTGGATCACTTGAGGCCAGGAGTTCAAAACCAGCCTGGTCAACATGGTGAAACCCCATCTCTAGAAAAAGCACACACAAAAAATTAGCTGGGTGTGGTGGCACACACCTGTAGTCCCAGCTACTCGGGAGGCTGAGGCAAGAGAATCACTATGAAGAATCTATCTAAAAAAATAAATAAATAGGCCAAGCGTGGTGGCTCACACCTATAATCCCAGCACTTTGGGAGGCCGAGGCAGGTGGATCTTGAGGTCAGGAGTTTGAGAGCAGCCTGGCCAACATAGTGAAACCCCATCTCTACTAAAAATACAAAAAATTAGCTGGGCATGGTGGCACACACCTGTGATCCCAGCTACTCAGGAGGCTGAGGCAGGAGAATTGCTTGAACCCAGGAGGTGGAAGTTGCAGTGAGCCAAGATTACACCACTGCACTCCAGCCCAGGTGACAGGGAGGAAGGGAGGAAAGGAGAGAGAGCGGGAGGGAGGGAGGGAGGGAGGGAGTGAGGGAGGGAAGAAACTACGCCGGTAATACATGAACTTAACTGGAAATGACTAGGCTTAGATTTGTAAAAATTAAGATCAACAAATATTCCCCTTGTGACACAAAAATAACCATGAGAACTTGACAAACAGTATGTATACATATGTCTATGTATACATATATACACACATACACATATACCATATAAGTTTAACATAAAGCACCAACACTTGAAGACACATGGAATATACTTCTTTCTTTAATTTTAGGAGCCTATTGTTTTCAAAGTGTTTGTTTTAAAAAATATCTTGAGGAAGAAAAATGATAACATAGGAAAAATATTTTTTAAAAATCTTGAGGTGGAAAAATGATAACAGGAAAATTAAAACACTGAAGTTAAGAGTAAAACTAGTTAAAAGTAGGATTAAATGAGAATTTTGGGATTGCCCCTATTGTTTTCCACCAAGAGCATCTCTGGCAAGAGAATCAAAGTCACTTTTCCCACTTTGGTTATATATTCATATGAAAAAACTGGACTGATTGCAGTGGCTCACACTTGTAACCCCAGCACTTCGGGAGGCCCAGGTGGTTAGATCGCTTGAGCCCAGGAGTATAAGACCAGCCTGGGCAACATGGCAGAACTCTATCTCTACTAAAAACAAACAAAAAATAATTAGCCAGGCATGGTGGTGCACGCCTATAGTCCCAGCTATTCGAGAGGCTGAGGTGGGAGGATTGCTTAAGCCTGGGAGTTAGAGGCTGCAGTGAACCATGATTGAGCCACTGCACTCCTGCCCAGGCAACAGAGTGAGACACTGTCTCAATGAATGAATGAATAATTCATTAATTAATTACTTTCAAAAAGATGGGCTACAATCTGGCCATATCAGAGTCACCTGTGATTTCACCCAATAGCTCTACTTAGACGAACATAAATTAATAATACGCTAAACTCTAAACATTAGGAAAAATGGCTTACAAGCAATTGTTTCATTTTTCCTGCTGTTTTAAATTGTTAAGCAACCGGGGGAAAAGCTGTGGTGATTAAACTTGCCACATACAACTCAGAGCTCATGAGTTTCATGAATACTGAGTGTGGCCAATAATCATGTGAGTAAATAAAGCAAGAATCAATACCACAAAAAGGGAAGCAATTTGCCAGGTAGCCTATAATTAGCTTTTGAATCTTACAGTAGAGAATATTATTGAGGCAAATAGCTTAGAAAGATTTAAAAAGGGATTAGTCATTCACATGAATGAAAAAGCCCAGAATTTAGTTACCTGAGCCAGGGGGCAAAGGTGGAGTGGGGCAAACATAATAAAAGCAATATGCCTCTTCTGTTCCAGGGAATACAGATCTCTAACAGGAAGAAACTCGAGGACAACATCTATGCTTCTGGAAACATAAACAGCTATCTATTCAAGAAGATACGAATCACACGATAACATCACCCACACAAACTAGAATACCACAAACAAACTGTAGGCCAATTTCACAAAGATTGACCAGGATGGTTAATTCTGCAGTGTCATTAGATACAACACTATTTCTATACAGAATATATCTAGACTACAAAAATAATCTGTTACATGAACTCCTTTCATTAACAAAGATATTCCTAAGTTTTTCAAATATTTTAACTACAGCTGAAGCTGTAATTTTGATATACTCTAATGGAAAGGAAATTATGCTATACAGAATAATATTAAGTGTTGTTAATCAGAATTATTGGAAGCTGACCCTGACACCTTGACGTATTTCAATTACAGTGGAACTACCTAAAATATTTAATTTTATAAGATAATAGCTTTCACTAAGTTTTCTTTAAAACTACATGAATCTGTATTATTAAATTATTTAAAGATAAAGCACAAAAAACACACCACCAAAGTTATTTACCAATAGAATGATATGAATTGGAAATATTTAATTAAATGATTGAAAAGACAAAATTTTTTAAAAAAATTAAAATTCAGGCTCGAAAGCTAATTCACCACATTCTTGATTTTTCTCTTAAGTAGTGGAGGTTTTAAAATATGGCCCCAAATTCTCTGACACTTGCCCAAAATAAGTTGAGGTCAATGTCCCTTCCCCTTGAATCTGGGCAGGCTTATGACTGCCTCACCAAAGTTATGCTGAGGGCCTTCCAAACTTAGGGCAGAAAATGTCATGCAGCTTCCACATCCCTTGGGATGCTGGCTCCGGGGGAGGCCAGCCTGCAAATAAGAAGCTCTGAGACTGCCATGTTGTCAAGGCCATGTGGGGGCACTCGGTAGACAGCCATAGCTGAGCTCACTGACAACGGCCGGCATCAGCTGCCAGCCAAGTGAGTGACCTGACATCTGACTACAACCAAATGAGAAACCCCGAAAGTGAACTGACTGGCTGAGGCCTTCCCAAATTCCTGACCCACAATGTCATCATCAAAATAAAATCGTTCTTTTTTTTTATGTTCCTAGGTTCTGGAAGAATCTGTTAAACAGGAGACAGTAACCAGAACAGGTATTGTAATTAAAGAAGACACACCTCAGTGATAGATGGGATGCTAGCATAAAGACTCAGGCCACAGTAGTTCACTGGATTGATGCAAGTCATTGGGGTTTCTGCCATTACTTTTGCACCAATCTAAATAAATGAATTGTGGAATAAGATGTCAAAAGTTCCGATTCAAATAGTTACCTTACTTTTTATAGCAAACATATTATAATTTATTTTCAATCATTCATTCAGGCTTTAACAAATATTTATTGAGCACCTATTCTCTTCTGGGCTTTGTGCCAGGTGCTAGTTATGAAAGTAGCTCAAAGAATAATGGGGGAGAACCAAGGTAATAAACATCAAATTATCACATACCATATAATTAATAAAAAGAGGTAAATACAGTGGTGGCAGAGTGAAAAGGACTCTAAGAACCTTAACAGCAGGACTAACTCAGGTGGTGATATAAGGAAGACTGAGTCAGTGAAGCGAAATTAACCATGAGAAGAACACTCTATGGCTTGAAGGAGGAGAGCTGGAGTGATAGAAGAAGGGACTGAAGAGGATGCAGAGGCCAAATCTTATCCACAGTGTTATGAGCTGGGATCTCTATGTGAAGCAATGAGGAGGTCTTACAGGTTTTTAAACAAGAAAATGAAATACTGAAATTTTCATTTAAAAATATCACTTTGCCTATCTATTCAAATAGTTTACATATTGACGATATTAGCTCCTACTGTATTAATTATTTGTGGAATAAACTTAAACATCCACTCTACTTATAGAGTATATATAACACACAAAGTGTTAGGAAATTAGTAAAAAACAGATTAATAATGTCTTTACATGCATCAAGCTTTGTAGTCTAATGGAAGCACAGAGCAGGAAACAGACAATTTAAATACAGTGAAACAAGAATAATTGTATAGAAGATTCCTATATAGTTTGATAACCTTAAGTAAAGAGGGTTATCAAAGAATATAGGAAGGATGCTTAATCTAGATATAGGGGGTCAAGAAGATTCTCCCAGAAGAATGTCTAAGCTGAACTAGAAGAATGGGTGTGAATGGGGCAAAGAGAGTTAGGGCAGCAAGGAAAGAAAGAGGATTCCCCTAAGACAGAACTTCATATCACTAAAGGTAAAGGCTCATAATTCAGAGTCACGGAGCATTCAAAGAAGAAAAAAATTTAATATCTCTATAGGTGTAGTGGGACAGTTGAGAAAGAAAGCTCAGACGGACACACAGGAGTCAGAATGCACAGGGACATGAGATACCGTTATAAAGTTTAAATTCTAATCTATTAGCAAGAAGCAGGTGTTGAAAGGCTAAGAAGGAGAGTGCCAAGACTGGTCCAGCATTTTATAAAGAACCCTCTGGCATATGTGTGGAGAGTAAGTTGGAGAGAGCCAAGAGAGCATCACTGGGACCAAGTAGGAAGCTCTTGTAAGAATCCAGGAGAGAAATGGTAGAGGCCTGAGAGAGGGAAATGACAGCAGAAATAGAATCAGTAGAGAAGAATACAGATATATTTTAAAGATGAAGAATTGAAAGGACCTGGTGATTAATTAGATGTGGGAGATAAGGGAGAAGAATAGCTCAATGATGACCCCCCAGGTTTCTGACCTGAGTACAATGAATGGAAACAGGGAATCTCAAAAAAGAAGCAAGGCTTTGAGCATGTGGCAAACAAGGGGAGGAAAGGGGGATTTAGTTTTGAGAAGTTAAGTTTAAGGTGGCTATGTATGGGACATCCACTACAATTGTTCAGGAGAGAGATGGCTATATGACACTTGACTGGGGATACAGATAAAGATTTGGGAATCAACAACAGGTAGGTGTTACTTGAAACCATGAGAGTGGGTAAGATGGCCCCACTAACAGTATACAAAGTGAGAAGAGAAGAGGTTTAGCTCAGGACTACACAGACACCAACATTAAGAGATGGTAAAATACAAGAAAGTTCTGACAAAAGGAATGACCAGAAACTTAGGAAGAAAACAGGAGAGTATGTTGCCATTAAAACTTAACAGTAAATCGGCCGGGTGCCGTGGCTCACGCCTGTAATCTCAGCACTTCGGGAGGCCGAGGCAGGAGGATCACCAGGTCAAGAGATCAAGACCATCCTGGCCAACATGGTGAAACCCCATCTCTACTAAAAATACAAAAATTAGCTGAGCATGGTGGCACGCACCTGTAGTCCCAACTACTCGGAAGGCTGAGGCAGGAGAATCGCTTGAACCTGGGATGTGGAGGTTTCCGTGAGCCGAGATCATGCCACTGCACTCCAGCCTGGTGACAGAGTGAGACTCCGTCTCAAAACAAACAAACAAACAAAAAAAAACTTAACAGTAAATCAAATCAAATCATAGCTTTCCTAAGCCAAATTCCTCTTGATTTCCTTACAAGTAGATGAGGCTGAGTTTGGCTGTAATCTCTAGACCTAAGTTTGAGTGGCAGCCTTTCGCTTCCTCAAAACATGTAATTAAGTGTCTTCTCCTTCTTGGATTGGAAGACTTGTGCTTTTTGTACAATATATGTATCAACTTAAAAGAAAAAGAAAAATATAAGTTTACCTTATAAATGAAATAATCAATTTAAAGAATGTACAAAAGCCATAGGTTTTAGAGCCAAACATCTGAATTTCACTTCCACCTTTGCCATTCCCTTGCTTTGAGATTTTGGGCAAGTTATTTAATCTCTCTAACCTCGAGTTCCCTCATATAACATTCTACTACCTGCAGTACAAAAACAGAATTGTTCCTGTTCTTTTGAACCCACTCTAACCTGAAAACCATCCCATGGCTGCCAATGAAAACAGCACTGCTCACAGTTACCAATAAACTCCTTGTTGGGAAATCTGATGGTCAATTTCAAACCTCATCCTGCTGGAACTATCAGAAGCATTAGACACATGTGATTATCCCTTTTAAAACACTGTCTTTGGCTTCTGGGTAAGTACTCTCAGTACTCTTCTTGCCGAATTAGCCCACTCCCTTTTAGACTCTTTGCTTCTTCTTTCTGATGTCCCAGACTCCATATTTGTGAACATTGGTATGCTCGGACTCAGTCTCCAATCCTTCTTCTCTAGCTACTGACACTCCCTCCACAGGTGACTTCATCCAGTCTAATAGCTTTAAATACCATCTATATGCCATCCACGTTCAAATTTATATCTTCTGCTCAGATCTCTCTTCTGAATGCCAGACGCCAACTGCCTACTCAACATCCCTTCATGAATGTCTAAAAGGCACATCAAATTTCTCATTCTCCCTAAACCTAGTCCTCCTACACTATTCCTCATCTTATTAAACGGCAACCCCAGTTTTCTAATTGCTTGAGCTCAGAACCTGACTCATGCTTGACTCTTTTTCTCTCATCCCATGTGCAATCATTGGCATTCTGTCAGTTCTAACTTCACAATATATTCCAAATTCAACCAGTTCAAACTGCGTTCGCCTGTATCACTCTAGTCTGAACTGTATTGTCTCTCCTTTGATTTATTCCATAGTCTTCTAACTGATCTTTTTACTTCCACTCTTGACTCCTACAGTATATTTTCCACAAAGAGATGGAGTAATCTCTTTTAAAGGGAAAGGCATATCTGGTTAGTCTGTTGCTCAGTATCTTCTTACAACATTTTACTTTAGGGAAATGAAGATACCTGATGGGCTTAATCCCTGCCCGACCAGCTTTCCCCACTCCTCCTGCTGTCTTCTTTTTAGCACTACCCACTTCATTCTCTATGCTTCAGCCTCACAGATCTCCTTGCGATTCCTGGAAACTCACACGTATGCTTCTATCTTTGGAACTTTACACCTTATTATTCTATTAGATATCCTCATGGTTTGTTCCTTCATTGGCATCATGAAGATCTCTTCTCAAAAATCCCTTCGTAAAACATATCCTCCATGACAACCCCCCCAAAACTATAGATTTATCAAGGAAAATCCCTCCCCAGTATCACTCTTCCCTTATTTCTCCTTCTCCATTGCCCTTATTATCTTCTAATAAGCTAAATAATTTACTTATCTCATTTTCCATTTCCACAGCCTAGCATATAATTCCATGAAGTCAGGAGCTTTAAATGTTTTAGTCTCTTGTATCCCCAGAGCCTAAAACAGTGCCTTGTATGTAATAAGTATTTAATACATAAGTAAATTAGAATTAAATAAAAATACATGTAAGAATGTTTACAAGATAGATGTCCAATAAATGGTCTTTCTTACTATTTGTAAAAACTTGCAAATTCAAGTGCAGTTATCCCAAAATTGGTGGGGCAAATAGTAGTGATAAAGTTGATAGAGAACGATATAAACTAGAAGTCATTCTCCCATACACATTGAATTTTTAAAGCAAAAATTCAATTTGGGAAGGTTCATTTTGCTTATAATGTAAAACCCTTCTGACAAACTGAATTTGAAAAAAATAAACATTTTTAAGTATGTCATGAATGATCCAAAACAAACTGAGCAAAATTGTGTTTTCTTTATATAAAGGCAGAAAATATTTTGAAATGAACAAAATATGTATATCTTTGTATTTACTAATATATTTCCAGCAATCAAACATAGCTGAGAAATATTTATATTAAGAAATAAGTAATAGATTTATAACTTTGGATTAAACATAACAGAAGGAATAGTAAATGAGATTAATAAAAAGTTAGCTGGTGTCCCAGAACTGGCTTAATAAAAATCTCCCAGAGAGAAAGCAGATCCATAGCTGTCTAGTAACTTTTTTAAAAAAAAGCTTATTTATGCCATCAGATAAAGCTGGGGAAAATACTGCCAACAAGGCTATAAGATGGTTCCTTTAGGACATTTAATACATTTATAGAGTATCTCATGGTGCTTATCATACAGGTACCCCAATAAATGTTTGTTAAATGCACAAATAGTGCACTGATAAATGAATAATTATAAGAAATTACCGCTCAGGTATGCCTACTTTGTCCATCACAAACCCTTAATAAAAAGCTGAGGGTTTAAATTCTAATGATCTCTTTTTTATGTCTTTTGTATCAGGAGTTAAGGAAGAGCCTTCAGGTATAAAAGCTCTAGGAGGGAAAAATCACACTCTAAAGGTATCAGCTGATGCCTTAGGTCAGCAGTACTTGTAATGTTATTTGAGATATTTTAGGCAGTGGAACTCAATGCAAGGTTTCTCTATGTAGCCTCATCTCCAGACAGCTGGAAGGGACAGGAAATACCCATGCAGCATGCCTCGGAAAAAGTCCTGCTGGCCCCAGGGCTTAGCACTTGACAGAGGATTCCTCTAGAGAAATCAAATGCCAATTAAAATCAGATTTCAAAAAGTAAAAGAACAAGGAAAAGAAAAAAGAAAAATTATTAAAGAGAAATGATGTAGAGAGTGGAGGAAAATAATGGAATGAGTAAGGCATGAAAGCAAATGTTACTGCACCCCCAGACACACACGCACGCACACACACACACACATACATTTTGCACACAGAAGGATAAGTTTAAATATGCCTTAATTCCCACTTTTCAAATTTTTAGAGTGACCTCAAAACAGATTTCAGTCTCATATTATTCTTCACATTTTCAGGACTACCAAAACCACACCGGGCATGACAGGTTCTATAAATTCACCTGTGTGAAGACAACTGCATTCAAACTCAACACTGAACACAATGGTTTCCAAAAATATGCAGGGTGCTTTAAGGTTTAAAAGAAATGAATTTATGGGGCCAGGCACGGTGGCTCATGCCTGTAATCCCCCAGCACTTTGGGAGTGCGAGGCGGGTGGACCATCTGAGGTCAGGAGTTCGAGACCAGCCTGGCCAACATGGTGAAACCCCGTCTCTACTAAAAATACAAAAAATTAGCTTGGCTTGATGGCATGCACCTGTAATCCCAGCTACTCAGGAGGCTGAAGCAGGAGAATCGCTTGAACCCGGGAGGCAAAGGTTGCAGTGAGCCAAGATGAAGCCATTGCACTCCAGCCTGGGCGACAAGAGGGAGATTCTCTCAAAGAAAAAAAAAAATTTATGTTATGTTACACTTTTACCCATGAAGATTTGGATGACTCATAATTTAATAATAGGATATATAAGCTTTCACCTCTGGGTCACTGACTCTAGGGTGACTACAGTAGACAGTCATTTTAGGACTTTATCATCTAGCAGCTGTTTTGTTCACAATCTGTAGAAGAAATGTGTTGCTTGTATCTATTAATACTCATTGGACAGGTGTATACATTCCAAGTTATATGCATCTGCCAATCTCTAGCACTTTTAGGCAGAGTGGTGGAATCCACAACAGCTGTCACCTTCAGCAAGCCCCTTTGGCATCCTCATGTCTCTTCCTTTCTTCATCTAAAGTACTAAATATTAATATTTCATATTTATGACAGATTTTTCTGTCTAAACCAAATCATAAAAGAAAAATATTGGTGGAAGATTTCTGAAATGAACATAGTACCATTCTGTGAAACAAAGAAGGCAACAGATAATATTTCCTCCTAGGAAAATGTGGTAAAGGCCAAGTCAGCTGAGAAGGCCAATACTTAGGAGGGTTAAGGGATGTGCAGGATATTGCAGACATCCCTGGGACTACGTACTTTAGCCATATTCACACACGCATACACAGGTCACTGGGAAATGTACTTCTGAAATGAATGTTCCAGATTTATGTACACGAGCAATATAATATGAATAATATAACTATCTCTGCCTTGGATTTAGAGCTCTAAATCAACATATACTGTGGTGCTAAAGATTCATAATCTGTCAGCTCACCTCTTCACCGTGGCGATCAGAAACTGGATGGCAGCTACTGCACTGTAAAGTTATTCCACTAAGATGGGCTGCCTAGCCACAGTCATGGCAATAACTGGAGAAGAACTATGTTTTGAAAAACAAAACTATAATTTTATACAGAGCATAGAGGTATTTAAGTCACCATCTAATTTGCTATGTCTATATTGAAATATTGATGACACCTACCAATTGGCCTTTGTCACAGATTAGTCCATGGCACTGCTGAAAACATACTGTCTAAAAATCCATATTCCTATCTTCCAAGTTGACATCTTCTTTCAAAGAACTGTGCATCTCCTTTTACAAAAATATTCAGTTAACCAGGCAATAGTCCAACTCACATTTAATATGCAATTTAATGTTGGCATAAAATGTTTAATAGGGACTCTTTTATTTTCTTAAATGATGTTAAATAATGCACTATGTGGCACAAACTAAAAGAAATGGTGGAAAAAAGTCACTAATAACTCTTTATCTCAATACATCATTTTTTTCAAAAGGTCTTAAGAACCCTGAAAGTTTAGGCTTGACACATTTGCTTCTGTCAAACCTAAGAGACCTTTTAAGATGAGAAAGAAAGCACTCACTATGCCCTTTTGATGTGGTTCAGTAGGGCAACAAAATAACCATGCAGTTTGACTTTGTTTTGCTTTGGAACTGGTGGGTTATTACAGGTTGTCTGCAATTACATTTCATTGATGAGGAAATTAAGGCATAGAGAGGTTAAGTGACAGAGAAACACAACCTTTGAGTAGAGGGACCATAGAATTGACACAGATCAAAAATATTACAACCACAATCCTGTATTTTTAACCAACTAAAAAAGGCTATTTTATGTATAAGCTCAAAGTTTATCTAAGCTCTTAAATTCTAAGTTTAATAACCAACTTAGCAAACCTGTTACTTTTGTCCGCTTTAAGCCCTTTGTCTTTTGTCTTAAGTATCAAGAAGCTCAGAATAGAATTTAGTGCCAATGCAGAACACCACTTCCTAGCCTTGGTTTCTGGGGCAATCTCAGGCCTTTCAAAAATTCAGTAGGTTTTAGTTGCCCATCTGTTATATACCAGACAACGCTGTAGATGCTAAAGATACAGACCTGTACAAATAATGTGAAAACTTCTGTCTTGACTTAATTACTTAAGTGTAAGACAGAGTATGTTAGTGCTATGGAGAAAATAAAAAGCAGGAAAAAAGAGAGAGAGCGTGGGGTGAGGCTCAATTTTTAAAAGGGTGGTCAGTGAAAGTCACAGGGCATGACATTTGAATATAGCCCTGAAAAGGAGTGCAGTGAGCAGATAAGAGGGCCATGGAGGGAACCTTCCTGGAACAGGGAAAACCAAGTACAAAAGCCCTGAGGTGAAAGCATGCCCGGTATCTATGACTCATCTTTTTGTTGCTGTTTATTATTTTAAATAATGTATATTCTTCTTTTTTTTTGAGAGGAGTCTCACTCTGTTGCCCAGGCTGGAGTGCAATCATGTGATCTTGGCTCACTGCAACCTCTGCCTCCTGGGTTCAAGTGATTCTTCTGCCTCAGCCTTCCAAGTAGCTGGGATTACAGGCATGCGCCACCATGCCCAGCTAATTTTGTATTTTTAGTAGAGACGGGGTTTCACCATGTTGGTCAGGCTGGTCTTGAACTCCCGATCTCAGGTGATCCACCTGCCTCAGCCTCCCAAAGTGCTGGGATTACAGGCGTGAGCCACCGCACCCGGCCAATAATGTGTATTATTATTTATTGAAAGTCCCAGCAAATACTTTGGAAGAAGGTCAGGCACATACATACAATCAGAAATGCTGCAGACAAGCTTCAGATACTGTGTCACTGCAGAGGAGTTTTTAGTGGTTGTACTGTACACTGCAATGACCACTTGACTATGTCCCTCTGTCTCCCTACTACCATTACTAAAACTTCCTAAAACTAACTTATGAGGTTTAATAAAGAAAAAGAAAACTGCTTTGGGGAAAGGGCCCACCATAAGGAAATCAAACTGCTAGGTAAAGTACCCCAAGCCACAATGACTACCTCCCTTGAATTTCTGGAATGTGTATCCAGCATTTAACAGGAAGTGCTATCTGGAATTGTTACTCTATTGACATCTCATCCCATGCTACCTTGTATTGTTCTTTTGTACACATCTGCTCTCACAGTGACTTCCCTGGAGGCGGGCTTATATTTTGGAAATGTCTGAATCCCATCGCAGGGCAGCGAAATCTGTTTTGAGGATGATGATACAGAAACTACCACAACCAGCAGCAGACATTCCTCCTGTTTTAAGAATCTCTGTAGATAAAGCATGAAAGAAACAACAGTCTCTCAGAGGCTTTTAAATAATCCCAACTATTTTAGCCAACTTACTGTTTATGTAACATACCGTTTTAAGTCTTTGTTTGCATTTTTAGTTAGGGACTGTACACACTTTCAGTCTAGACCCAAGCATGAGTTAGCCAAAAAACATAGAGGAATCACATGGTACGGAGCCCTGTTCAGTTTGTCCCAGCCAATGTTATTAAAAACACTATGATGGGCAAGGGACTCAACATGAAGCTACCACATATGGGACTCTAAGACATTGTCCAGACAGTCTAACAAGACAAGCAGACACGAAAGAAACAACTTCAGTGCATGTAAGATAATATAAGATACTGTGAAAGTATATAAGCAGTGACTTGGAGGGTGAGGCAACGCTTCACAGAAGAGTTGGCACCTGAACACACAGGGTTTTGAAAGATGAATAGGCCTAGGACAATTGGACACAGGATCAAAGGGCATCCAGGATTGTGCAAAACACTGGCAGAAACATCACAGATTGAAAACTGCTGGAAGAACGCATTCACCGTCAGTGAAGGAAAGCTGGTCTGGTGCACTCTCAAGCTTTCCAAGAAAAAAAACCAAGTTTTCAAATAAAAGCAGAGGAGGAAAGTTTCACCAGTGCTTGTTCTGAGAAACCTCTTAGCCTCTCTTTGCTTTGTTTTGCTCTTTCTGTTTTGCTTCCCTCTTAAAGAGTGCTGGCTTAAAACCTCAGTGAAAGAAAAGTACTTCAACTTTACTGTGGAAAAAGGAAACTGAAAAGTAGGCAAAGGCCAAGGGATACATTTTTTTAAACATTCACTCTTTCCTGGAATATACAAATGAAGCAAAATTACAAATTCATGTATTATGGGTCTGAAATATTTATTCCAATTCTTTTCTCCACCAGCTCCATAAATATTTATTCTATGCCCACTGCTTGTTAGTTTCTGGGATACCAGGCCGATGAGGCAGTCTCTTCCTCTCCTCCTTTGAGCAAGCTTGTGCTTGCAATCCTGTATAAGAAATAAGAGGAGGGCAACAACTTGTATCTTGTGCCTTCTACACATGCCAACCATAGCCTGAAGTTCACAGCAAAGTTAAATTCCAGTTAAGTAAACCAGTGAGGTCATAATACACTTAAATAACAACTGAGACGTGAGAAACTAACAGAGATCCTCAGTAAGTGTGTCGGTCACCTCTTCGCGCGAGCAGGGAGATCAGATCGAGAGCAGGACCTCCTCGCCAGTGATTTGGAATGATAAATGGGGAAGAGAAGGGGGTGAAGTTACCTGGGCGCTCAGGTAGACTTTGAGGCACTCCTCGCACACGGCCTTCTTGCAGCAAGGCAGGGGCTTGATGGGCTTGTCTTCCAGGCACACCCGGCACATCAGCACCATGAGGGGCACATAGGGATCCCCTACACCGCCCAGGCCAGAGTAGGGTGGAGCTCCCAACAGGCTGGGCATGGAGAACGGCTCGGGCGCCAGGTAGAACTCCAGCTCGATGCTGCCGCCGTCGGGGGAGAGGGAATCCGTTGGGAGGGACAGTCGGGGGCTGGGGAAGGAAGAGCGGGTGCTGGGAGGGTTCAACACTGGCGGAGCCCCAGGTGGCGACGCGGGCGGCGAGAGCTGCTCCGAGGCGGGGGCCTCGGGCAGGTCGCTCTCCACGCAGTACACGGAGCAGAAGACTTGTCTCTTGGCGAGGGACGGGCGCCGCTGACCCAGCACGTCCAGGACCAGTCCGTCGGCGGCCCCCACGCGGGTCCTGGGCTCCAGCTCTTCGCCGGGGGGCGCCTCCTGCTGTTCATCCCCTCCCTCTTTTCGATCCCCAGCTTCCTCCTCTTCCTCCTCCAGCTCCAACTGCAGTGGCAAGGTCTGGGGATTGAGAGGCCCGGTGAGTGCCAGTCCCGCAGGCTGCGCCGGTGCTCGGCTCTTACTCCAGCCCGGGGGCCCCAGGCTCCTCGCGGGCTCTGGGGCGCTGGTGTCCGCGCAGCCCCAGTCGCTTCCGCAGCCACCGCCGCTCGGCTCCGCGGAGGCGGCGCGCAGCGGGGGCGCCCGGGCGCTGTCCCCCTGAGGCCTCGGGGGCTCAGGGTGGCCCGCAGTGCCACTGGCCAGGGTCTGCGACTCCTGGGGCCCGCCGCCGCCGCTCACCGTGCTCTGCTCCTCGCCCATCGCCGCCCGCGGCCCGCGCCGCCGCTGCCCATCCAGCCGCCGGGACCCCCACCCGGCGCCCGCGGGCAGCGGGGGCAGTGGCTCGGCTCGACTCGCGGCTCCGCTTCTGCTTCCGGGTCCTTCCTCCTGGGCTGGGACGCCCCAAGTCCCCTCCGGGGAGCCCGTGCTCCGAGGCTGCGGCGCGTGGGGAGCCTGGCCCGGCCCGCCGCTCCTCCTCGTACTCTGGCGCGGCGGGGCACCGCCTCGGGGGCGCCGAGGGCCGCTCGCTCTGGGCTCGGGCGCGCCCGCCCCACATGCAGCTCGGGGCGGCGCCGCAGCCCCAGCGAGCCCCAGGCGGGACAGAGGGGTCTGGGAGGAGACGGCCGTCAGTCCCGCGCCATCACCGGTCCCGGCTGCCGGACGCGCGGCCCGAGGGCGGTGGTCAAAGGGTCGAGGGGCCTGTGGCGCCGCCGCGGCGCGCACCAGGAGGTGCAGCCGGAGCGCTGGCCAGCCGCAGGGCCCCTGGGGGAGAGGCCGGAGCGGGCGACCTCCCTCTCCCCGCGCTTCACCTACAGCCCTCCTCGCCGCCCCTCACCCCACCCCTTTGGCGCACACCTCCCCACACGTACACACGCGCGCAGGCACCCGCGCACACACACACGCACACCCTGAGTGGGTGTGATCTAAGAGCTGAGATGCGCTTTCTCGCCCGGAGTTCACACTCAGCCTCAACAAAACCCTCAGAGCAGGCAGGCTCCCCTTTGGTCTCCGCATTCAGTAGAACTTCCTACAAAACTACACTCAGCTCTGGAATTAGTAAACGCTGGCTATTTAGGATGTCGAGTTCAGAGAAATAATGCTAAGGATTATGAATTCTAAATGCTGTATATTACAACTCTGTTTTTCTGCCTAGTGGAGTAGGAAGAATCTTCGAAACCCATAAATAATCGAAAAAGCACTTTCGATCTACTCCTCCAACTGGAATCCTTAGAAGAGTTGATAACTAATTTAAAATTTCTCTCTTTTTCTTCGCCTACAGTGTTCTCTTAGAAGTTTTTTTTTTTAACCCTTTTCAGCATTCCAAAATGGATAGCACAAGGTGGAAAAATGTCCTGACCTAATTAATAAACTGGATCATTAGTGGAAATCATGGGCAGTTTCATTAGCATAACCATATTTATCCTCAAAACTGTTTCCAAAACAACAATTATATGTGAGCCAGGACTTAATTATGTGTTGATCTATCTTTATTTTACAGGAAGTATTACTCACCCAGACACTGGTGTTTTAGTTCCCTAAAGCCAGTGAAAACATTTTTGGGAAGCCAGCCCTTGTTTTGTTTTTTTTCTCCTGAGAGGGAATTCAATTTACACATTCATGTAATAGCAAGGAACTGTAAAGTGTGTAGAATTTTATTTTTTAATCTCGAAGTTGTTATTGGGTTGTTCTAAAATATTTTCCAAATCAGATGCAAATGATACAAAGGTGACTAGCGATGCAAACTAAGAAAGCAGTGTAATGCCAAAGAACATTTCCATCATATATGTGTGTCTGAGGCTCAGTTGCAAGCAAAGGTATGAATTGGATGTCTAAATGCCATGTCATCTATCGGTCTGACCCAAGAATGGAAAATTCTTATTTTGAAGATTAAATGCTATTCGAGGATTCTTTTCTTTTTTATCTCAGCTAAGTGATTTCCTGGTAACTGCTGTTTTCTCCAAATGATACTTTAAGTGCTTATTGTTTTAAAGACAGAGACAAGAAACCTACTTATGTGTGCCTTTTGAGTGTGCCATCTGATGACCAAGCCACTATTCTTTCCAGAGATATAAAAGTAATCTGCATTTTCCAGGTGACAACAGGCTAAGACCAGAGTAACAATAATGGATGCCAAAAAGTATATTCCCACAGCGTCTATTGGAATAAAACCCCTCAAAGTCCTCTTATAGTTTTGGGAACCCCTCCTCACACACATTTTTCACTCGTATTCTGAGAACTTGTTCTTCCAGTGTTTACCATTTTATTCCTTATCCCTTAGGTTCCAGCTTACTGGAAGTGGCTGTCCTCTACACCAAACCCATTAGAAGTCCCTGCTGGGACTCATGATGGCCGCCCATATCTCTGCTGCTTAAAACTGCAGCCCTTTATTTTGCCATGACTTCTTCCCTACAGAATTCATTGGGCCTTTGTGAAAATAGAATAATATGTGGTTCCCTATTTCCACCCTCCAAATTGGCCCAAACTTGCCTGAATCCTTGACCCACCACCCCTGGCATTCAATCTAGTGCTCATGGGACTCCAGCAGCATGGAAGTGAATTAAATTGAAAAGTTAACATCGTGGTTCCACAATGAATTTTCTCTGAAGTGCATGAAGCACCAGTAATGATTGTTTCGATGGGATTAATTATTTAAAGAAGGATTGGTTGAAAATATTTTATTAACCAATATTTAATATTTTAGCAAAAATTCCATTTATCTGCCACAAGCTTAATATTCTCAAAACTCAAACCATCTGCTCCATCTCAGGTTGTACACAACTGTTGATACAACGTAAGTACTATCACTAATATCCTGCTCCTACCAACATAAAGCCTCAAAATGTCCTAATCTGCAGTGAACTGTGTACCTTCCCTAAAATCCAGACTTCAATATCAGAAAACTATGTCAGTTTTAGAATGCTGTTTTTTCTATTATTGCCTTTCTTATCCTGGCATTAAAACATGACTTCTTTTTGGCTCCCTTCAATTTTTTTAAATCATTTTTATTAATGCATAATATTTGAACATATTTGTGGGATATATGTGATATTTTGATATATGCATACCATGTGTGATGATCAAATAAAGGTACACAGGATATTCATCACCTTGAACAGTTATCATTTCTTTGTGTTGGAAACATTTCAAATATTCTCTTCTAGCTGTTTTAAAATATACAATATATAGCTATAGTCAGCCTACTGTGCTATTGAACACTAGAACTTAGTCCTTCTATCTAAGTATATGTTTGTATACATATAACCAACTTCTCTTCATCTGCCCCTGTGTTTCCAGCCTCTGGGAACTATCATTCTCCTTTCTACTTCCATGAGATCAACTTTTTAAACTCCCATATATCAAGAACATGTGATATTTGTCTTTCTGTGCCTGCCTTATTTCACTTAACATAATGATCTCTAGTGCCATCCATGTTGCTGTAAATGACAAAATTTCATTTTTTATGGCTAAATAGTATTTTATTGAATATACATACCATATTTTCTTTATCCATTCATCTGTTGATAGACACTTAGGTTGATTCCATATCAACCTCTTGTAAATAGTGCTATAATAAATATAGGGGTGCAGATGTCACTTTGATTTACTGATTTCCTTTCCTGCTACTGGATAAATACCCAGTAATGAGATTGCTGGATCATATGGTAGTTATATTTTTAGTTTTTTGAGAAACTTCCAGACTATTTTCTATAATGACTATACATATTTATGTTCCCATCAAGAGTGTATAAAATTTCCCTCTTCTATGCATCCTGGCCACCTTTTGTTATTTTTTGTCTTTTTGATAATAGTCATTCTAACTGTGGTAAGATGATGTCTCATTGTGGTTTTGATCTGCATTTCTCTGGTGATTGATGATGCTGGGCATTTTTTAAATAAACTTGTTAGCCATTTGTATGACTTCTTTTGAGAAAGAAAGTCTATATAAAAGAAAGTCTTTTGAGTTGATTTTTGTGATCAACTGTGTGAGTGATAGGTGTCTAGTTTCATTCTTATGCATAGGGATTTCCAGTTTTCTCGGCATCATTTATTGAAGAGAATGTCTTTTCCCCAATGTTTATTCTTGGCACCTTTGTTGGAAATTAGTTGGCCATAAATATGTGGACTTAATAATATTTCTGGATTCTCTATTTTGTTTCATTGGTCTATGAGTCTGTCTGTTTTTATACAGACTTTCTTTTATACAGACAAGAAATGTCTGTTAATGTCCTTTGCCCAATTTTTAGTGCAATTATTATATATATTATACTGTTGAGTTTTTTGAGTTCCTTGTATATTCTGGGTATTAGTCCCTTGTGGGATGAATAGTTTGCAAATATTTCCTCCCATTCTGCAGTTTGTGTCTTTGCTCTCTTGATTGTTTCCTTTGCTGTGCATAAGTGTTTTAGTTTGCTCTAATCCCATTTGTCTATTTTTCCCTTTGTTGTCTTTGTTTTTGCAGTCTTAGTCATAAAATTATTGCCTAGACCAATCTCCTACAGCATTTCCCTTATGGCTTCTTGTAGTAGTTTTATAATTTCAGGATTTACATTTGTATTTAATCCTTTTTGAGTTGATTTTTGTATATGGTGAGTCATAGGGATCTAGTATTATTATTCTGTATATGGTGAGTGATAGGGATCTAGTTTTATTATTCTGTATATGGATTTCCAGTTTTCTCAGCACCATTTATTGAAGAGGGTGTCCTTTCCACAGTGTTTATTCTTAGTGCCTTTGTTGAAAAATCAGTTGGCTGTAAATATGCAGACTTATTTCTGGATCTCTATTCTGCTTCATTGGTCTAGAGTCTGTGTTTATAACACTACCATGCTGGTTTGGTTGCTATGGCATTGTAATATAATTTGAAGTCAGGTAGTGTGACGCTTTCAGCTTTGTTCTTTTTGCTCGGCATTGCTTTGGATACTTGGGCTCTTTTTCTGTTCCATTTGAATTTTATGTTTTTTTCTCTATTTCCATGAAAAATAACGTTAGTATTTTGATAGAGATTGCATTGAATTTGTAGATTGCTTTAGGTAATATGGTCATTTTAACGATGTTTGTTCTCCTTATCCATGAGCATGGGATGTCTGTCCATTTGTTTGTGTCCTCTTTAGTTTCTTTCATCAGTGTTTCACAGATTTTTTTCTAGAGATCTTTTATCATCTTGGTTAAATGTATTCATAGGTATTTTATTTATTTATTTATTTTTAAATATTGCAAACAGGATTATCTTCTTGATTTCTTTCTCAGCTACTTCATTATTGTTGTTCAGAAGTGCTACTGATCTGTGTATGTTGGTTTTGTATCCTATAACTTTGCTGAATTTATCTATCATAACTAGGAGTTTCTTTGATGCCTTTACTCATCTCTTCTCCTTCAGGAACACCCAAAATTTGAATATTTGGTCACTTCTTTGTCTCATATGTTATGTAGGCTTTGTTCTTTTTTATTCTTTTTTGTTTTTTGTCTGATGGGATTATCACAAAAGGCATCTTCAAGTTCAGAAATTCTTTTTTCTGCTTGACTTAGTGGATTTTGAAGCTCTACATTGTATTTCTTATTTCATTCATTGACTTATTCAGTTTTGGATTTCTGTTGGTCCTTTTCTATGATATCTCTTTGTTGAGTTTTTCATTCAGATCATGAACTGTTTTTTCTGATTTGTTTGTGTTTTTAAATCTATGTCCTTTTGTATCTCACCGAGCTTCTTTAATTTCATTATTTTGAATTCGTTTTCAGTCAATTGATTTCTTTTTTGTTGGAATCTGTTGCTGAAGAATTATTATGTTCCTTTGGAGGTGTCATGTTTCCTTGCCTTTTCATGTTTCTTGCATCCTTGCATTGATACGTGCACATGTCATGTAACAGTCACTTCTTAATTTTTTGGATTGGCTTTTGTAAGGAAAGACTTTTTCCTATAGATGTGTCTATGGTGTTGGTTGGGTAGGGCACTTTAGCTTTGATTCTGGGTGTGTGTAGTTTCTGTATGATTTCTTCAGCTGTAATCAGCATCAGTGGTATTTTTGAGTTTTCCTCAGTGACTTAGGTTGCAATTGTTAGTGGAGGATATGGTGAGGCTATTTTGGGATGGGAGACACCAGTTGGGTAGGTTATTGAGCTCTGATGGTGATGGTGGTGGCAGGACAATTGGGCCCATCCTTGGGCCCCCAGGTGTATACACCGTTACTGGTATTTGCAAGTCCAGGCAGGCAGCCAGGCAGCTTGCTTAGGTTCCAACAGTGGCAGAGGTGGGTCAAGCAAGTGGGCATGTCCATAGGCCCCTTGGTGGCATGTGTGGTATGGACAATGACAGTAACAGTGACAGGCCAATACTCAGGCCCTCATGCACTACTGGTGGTTGCACATTGGTGGGTGGCAGCCTTTGTGGTAGTGGCAGGCTGGGAGGACCCATCCTCAAGCCCCCAGGAGAATTGCACAGACATCAGTAATGGCAGACTGTGTAATCAATCCCTAGGCCCCCAGATGACACGTGCAAGTACTGACAGGCCTCGCACCAGGCAGGACTGTTCTGTCCTCAGGCCCCAGGTGTTACACGTGGGTGCAGGCTGTGGTGGGTGGGACTGTTCAATTCTCAGGCTCCCAGTTTATTTGCACAGGTGTTGGCAGGCTGGGCAGGCCTGTCCTCAGGCCTCTGGAAAGCATGCATAGACACTGGTGGCAGCAAATGAGGTGCGTCAATTCCAAGGCCCCCAGAGAGCATGCTTTGGCACGATTGGCAGGTAGGCTGGGTCTGTCGTTAGGCCCAGCTGGCAATGACAAACCTACTGATGTTGTGTGCATATGCCAATGGTTCAGGCAGGGCAGGTCAATCTCCAGGACTGCAGATGGCACACCTGAGCACTGGAAAGCATGATGCCAAGCATGGCAGGCCTGTCCTTGGGTCCCCAATAGTGTACGCGTGCACAGGCTGTAGTGTGTGAGGCGGGGCAATCCCCAGTGTCCCAGACAGCCTGCATAGGCACCAGTGGTAGGTAGACTGGCTCTGCTGTTAGGCCCCCTGATAACGCATTCATATAGCAGAAGCAGCAGGCAGGGTGGGTTGGTCCCCAAGCCTTCAGCTGTTGTGCTTGGGTGATAGCAGCAGTGAGTAAGACTGGCCTGTCCTCAGGCCCTTGGATGACATCTGCCTGGACCAGTCACCAGGTCCATTGAAGGCACATACATGTGCATGGTGGCCCTTCTGCTGGGGTGACTGGGCTGGCTGTCAGTGGCAGTGGTGTTCTTCAGGCTCTGGGGAGTGCACATTTTGCCTTACTTCTTCCTGGGTGCATCCTCCCCAGTGTGCTGCACTGCCTGTTCCCCGGGGTGTAAGACTCTGCATGGGCTAGAGGGCTTGGAACGCAGCAGCACCATTAGGTTCAGCCAGCGTCTCCGTGTTGCAGCGCTCTGGGTTGTCATGGGGGATTATCAATATTGGCAGGGTTCCAGGAATGTGAAGATGCAGGGCTTTTGGGCCCCAGGGCAGGATGTAGGCTAGTGGGGGCTCTCAAAATAGCACCACGCTGCTTGGGTCTGGGGAATGTGTTAGACCCAGCAAGAGCTCCCATCTGGAACAGTTGTGTTGCAAGGACCCCAGGCAGCTCCCTATACTATTCTCAGTTCTCAGGACTGCAGGAGTCTACTTCTAGGGATCTCTCCCTTACCCTTTCCCCACACTGGGGAGCCTCTTTTGGCTCCTCTCAGGTCCCAGCTGGGCCAGCTGCCTTGTTTCTCTCTCCTTCCATGCCTCAGATATTCCATGTCACTTCCTTGCTGAATTCCAGTGTTCTCTCTTCGATGCTGTATTCGATCTATGTTTATCTACTTACTGTTTTCCTCCTTCTCTGTGGAGGAGATGAGTGCTGGGTGCCTCTAGTTAGCCATTTTGAACTGTCTGAAATTTTTTATCCAGACGTTAAAGAGTTGAGATTTATTAACTCATTAAAAATGTTATGTTATATCAGAAAAACTATGACTCATTTTAGTTTTACATATCAAAGCCAAAACTAATTTCTTCTAAACTATTGTGGAGAAAAAATACATAATATTTAAATGCCATGAAACAATTACAGCAAATACCTGACTTGTTTTTCTACCAATCTCTCAATTATCAAAATAGGTATAAAAATATAGAAATAATTTAATTTAAAAAATCAATTCCTGAAAAGCAATGTCTGTGGTGGAATTTTTTCTACGTCTGCTTCTGAAAGTTGTAGTGTGATGTTCATCCTGCCTTTCCTATTTCTTCCCTCTTATATGTGGAGGAAGAGAATTTGGAATCATGAAAGGAAGAGTTCATCAGGTGGAAAAGAGAGGAATACAATCATTTCACTTTCTTTTTCCACCTAAATCCCCTAAGGAAAAATCCAAATAGCCAACTTGTATGAGATAAAGTTAAAAATAAAACAAAACAGTATAATTTGTTTAAATTTTAAAAGTAATGAAAACCCAAATGCTTAGAACACAAAGGAAACCAAGAAGAGGGAAGAAGAGGAGAAAAGGAGGAAGGAAATAAGGGAAGGAAGGAGAGAGAGGAGAAGGGAGGAAGGCAGGCGGGCAGGCAGGAAGGAAAAAAGGTCTTCACTTGAACTTATTACCCAAAATAACTACTTTAACACATTGGTATATTTCTTTCTAGTGTTTGCATTTGTGTGTATAAAATATATATTAATAAGTGGCACTATTGCCAAAATAAAATAATAATACTCCTTTCCTGCTTTTGTTAATTAGTAATGTATCCTCAACATTTTTCATGCAACTAATGCATCTTTACATTATCATGATTCGCAGCCATACAGTATTTTACTATATAGTGATGTCATAATTTATTTAACTAATTCCATTATATTAAAAATATATCATTCATGATTTCAATAAAATATATAAAATATATGTTAATATATCATATATAATGAATATATTTTATTAACATATAACATGATTTTTATATGCATTCCTAATATGTCACAGGATGAAGTCCTAAGAATTAAATTGATGCAGAAAGGGTGGATGTATTTTCAAGGCTTTTGGCACACATTATCACAGAAACTTATCACCAATTTATAATCTCATCAGATAGTGTGAATGTGACAGAATCTAATTCCTTAATCATTCTAAAGAGATTTTTTAGAATTAAAAAAAACTATATATAACATCACACTTTGAAATTAATGGGCATATTCTTTTAAATGAAAAGGGCAAAATTAAATATTAACTGTTAATCCCCTTCTGTACCTACAAATTTGCATTACATGCTATAGTTTTCTTTCTCAGGTGAGGGTTCTGACAGTTTCCCTTCCTCATCTTTTTTGAATTTTCTCGTTACTTCTTCCAATGGCAAGAGTGTTCTAATAAATTAAACTTGGTCATAGTTAATATTTCTTAATTTTTGATGCTAATTCCTATTTCTGCTTTTATAATGAACAAGAAAGAGAAAGTTGTTGTTGTTTTTTGAGTGAAATCTTCATCTCAATGAACAGAGAAATAAGCTTGGTGTTAAAAGCTACTATTTGCATGCACATCCAAGACAGAGTAAGGTAAGCAAGTCTTCCTTTTTTGTGTTACAATTGAATTTAACAAACATTTCCTGGATGTCTGTTAGATCCTGCGTCAAGCTCTGGAAAATTTGGTTTACTAACTTGTTTAATAGAGAAAATAATCCTTTCTCCAGATTTCCCTTTATTATTAACTTTATAACATCTATGAAACACTTCAAACTTTCCAGAGCAGATTTTACCTGTATATGGAAGGCCAGTTCCTGGCATTCTGCACATATTTCGATCCCAAAAAAGCATTTTTAAAGGAAAGAAACAATATAATAATTCTACTCTGTAGTAACTTAAAGCATCATGTGGAACTGAACTTTCCAAACTATGGGTTGAGGTGTTCTGAAGCACTGCAGCAAACCCATAGGATCACATGGAACATTAAAAATTCTTGAGGGAATCACAGCATTACCTATCAACACATGCAAATGCTACTGTTAAGTTGTTTGGACCCAATTACTATTAGGAATTTCTTTTGGCCTAAAAGGCACCATGAAAAATAATAGAAGAGCACCATAAATCAAGACAGTTTGGAACCTTGGGTTGGACACTTCAGGTACAGGGTAGAAACAACAGGATGGGGACCCTATTCTCTAGAAATTTATATTTTAAATTTACAAGGCACACTTGTATAGTAAAGGATCAACCTTGCCTAAAGAAAGGTTTGCCTCTTGCCTTCAGCTCCTGAGAGGTAACCTCAAAGCTTTTGGAATGGCCAGCCAGAGGAGTGTCTTTATTTGACTTGGGGTCCTTGAGCCATGCCACATAGTCTGTGCTAACAATGTGATTTATGTTGGGGGCCTTGAGTCAGGCAGTATAGGCTTGACCTCTGGAGGTGCTAGAAACTAAGGTCAGCTATGTGGGTGGTTATCCCCCAATAAAAACCCCAGACACCAAGGCTCAGGTGAGTTTCCTGGTTGGTAATACTCAATGCACAAAGTCACACATTATTGCTAGGAGAAATAAGCATTGTTTGCACAACTCCACCAGGAAAAGACCACTGGTAACTCTGTCTGGTCTCTCCTGGACCATGCTTTATGTGCCTTTTCTTGGTGTTGATTTTAATCTGTGTCCTTTCACTGTAATAAACTATAATTGTGGGTAAACAGCTTTGCTGAATTCTGTGAGTCCTTCTATAGCAGTATTGAACCTGAGAGTAGTCTTGGAAGCTCCTGACTGCCACTGACTAACCACTACATCGTTAACTTTTATAGGTTTTCATTTGTGATTTTTTTCCCCAGTAGAAAGATGTCATTGAGAAGATATAGCATCCACTAATGTAAGAACAAGTTTAATATAAAAAATAGCCAATCTTGCCACACAAGAAAGTTCATTTTATCGGGTAATATAGATAAGAAACCTGCCATTTTTATTTATGAGCTATATGAAATTGGTTTTGACATTTTGCATGACAAAATCAACAAGAGTATTAAATGATTCTGAAAGTTTTGAAACTGACAGCTTAAGTGATACAGTAGTATTTATTTTAAAATATGGCAAATAATTTTATCTATTTATGTTTTAAGATACTGCTACCAAGTTGGAATGGGAGAACCCAGCTGCCATCCTTTGCAGAATGTTAAATACCACAAGCTGTTTTACAAACATTGTGTTATCAGTAAAACTCAAAATATTTTCCCAAATACTTTCTAAAAATTTCCCAACATGCAAGTATTTTAAAAAGCTTTTTACTTACATATTCCTAACTCGTTTACATATTATTTTTTCTTAGCTTTGTAAGACTTTGGAGCTTCTATTAAGAGCTTTATGACAATGATGTTTGTTCCATATTTGTATGGGAAAGATACCAGACCATACAAGTAAATATCTTTATCCTAGTTCTATAGTTCCATTAATTGTCCATTTGCCTGCACTTTTTTGGGCCTCATGTTTTACTTCTATAAATTGGGCAGATTGAACTGAATGACTCTAGGCTTCATCTCAATACAAAATTATCATTTCAACTTAATGTATATGAATCACTACTTGTGTACATTGTTGTGGTACACATAGGGCCTATAAATGGTCAATTCAAGCCCTGAGGAATCTTGCAATTACATAAAGAAGACAGATCCTTCACTATAATATCAGAGAGATTTTGGTGGATACAATTAGAGAACTGTAAACTCAGGACTCTGGGAGTTGCAATGCAGGGGTCATTTCTTCCTAGGGGGATCTTAGAATGCTTCATGGAGGGCCTGGAAGATGAGTTAGATTTTTACAGATGGAGAAGGTGGAAAATACAGTAAGTATTTTAGAAGATGGACTATATAAGCTATCTACATGATAGCAGAACATGTAGAGTGCCTTGAGTGGCACTGGTCCTTGATGTCTTGATTGTACGAATTGTCCTGTATGTCTGATTGTATGTTATTTGTTAAGAAAGAACAAGAGATGAGGCAGGAAAGATAAGCTGACGCAAAGTTTTTTAGGGACTGTATTAGTCCATTCTTATGCTGCTAATAAAGATATACCCTAGAGTAATTCATAAAGGATAGAGGTTTCATTGACTCATAATTCTGCATGGCTGGGGAGGCCTCAATAAACTTAAAATCATGGCAGAAGGGGAAGCAAATGCACCCTTCTTCACATGGCAGTAGCAAGGAGAGGAATGAGAGCAAAGTCAGGGGAAAGCCCCTTATAAAACCATCAGATATCATGGGAACTCATTCACTATCACTAGAACAGCACGGAGGTAACCTCCTCCATGATTCAATCACCTCCCACTGGGTCCCTCCCACAACACATTATGGGAACTACAATTCCAGATGAGATTTGAGTGGGGCACAGCCAAACCATTCAGGGACTTTGTGCAAGATAGTTCTATTTTCTTCTAGATTCTCTTTCTTCTCTTGTCCTCCCTCTGTGCCACTGGAGGCTGATCCACAGAGGCACACATCAATGGCTTCAATTACCCTCTGTCTTTCAATTTAGTTCAACGAATGAAAGGTAACTGCAGGTAATCAGAGGGCTGAGGATGTTTATTTTTTCAGCTCTCAATCTGCCATTTACCTGTATGCTGTATTGAAGGCCATAGGTGCTACCATATCTGGGTTCTAAAAGTTTCTCCCTTTGGGCCAAAGGGAGTTGTATTAGTTTCCTAGGACTGCTGTAACAAAGTACCATACACTGGATACATTAAAACAACAAAAATTTATTTTCTCATAGTTCTGAAATCAAGTCGTTGACAGGGCCAGGCTCCCTCTGAAACCTGTAGGGAATAGCCCTTCCTTGCCTCTTCTAGCTGTTGGTGCTTGCTAACAATCCTCGGTGTACCTCAGCTGGTGGCTGCATCACTCTAATCCCCACCATCTTCTCCCAATGTGCTTATCTCTGTGTTTCTTCTTCTCGTCTTATAAAAACACCAGTCATGTTGGATTGAGCCCATCCTACTCCAGTATGACCTCATCTGAAATAATTACTTCTGCAACAATCTTATTTCCAAAGATCACATTCTGAAGTGCTTGGGGTTATGACTTTACATATCTTTTGTGGGGACACAGTTCAACCCATTTCAGGGGATAAAAGCTTCCCAGGGTTGTTAATCTCAGGTTACTGCGCTGTCTCTTATTTGAAACCCAAACTTTGTCTATTTCTAATAGAAGATTCATAATCGGTTCTGAGTTAAAAAACAAACAGATATTGTGGCAAAGTAAAATATGCACTAGAGGGAGGAGATCCAGGAGGCAAGACATGAGGTTATTGTTATGCTGTGTTATGTTATTGTTATGCCTATTGTTATGCTGCATTGTTATGTTGAGACATGAATGGGCTATGAAGTGGGAAGGGGCACCAGTGGCTTCCTAAGTTAAAATCCAAAGTCTTCCTTCAGGCCTTTTATATGGTGCCATCTTTTCGCCACACACACCCTTCATGCCACACCCTCACACCCAATCATTTCACAGACTTTCACTGCCACCTCCTTCAAATGTCCCATTCTTGCTTTCACCAGAGGGTCTTGATCTGTGTTCCCTCTGCCTGGTGTGCCCTTGCTGCTTGTCATATGCACCCACCCACACGTTTTATTTATTTTATTTTTTTCTGAGACAGCGTCTTGCTCTGTCACCCAGACTGGAGTACAGTGGCATGATCACAGCTCACTGCAGCCTCAGTCTCTTAGACTCAAGCCATACTCCTATCTCAGCCACCTGAGTAGCTGGGACTATAGGTGTGCACCACTATACTCAGCTAATTTTATTATTTTTTTAAAGACAGGGTCTCATAATGTTGCATAGGTTGCTTTTCCACCCCGCCCCCCCCCCCCACTTTCTTCAGGTCACTGTTCAATATATCCCTTTGTCAGAAAAGCCTTCCTTAAACAACCTAAATAAAATGTCACCACCCCCAACACCTCATCCTCAGTCACCTCTATCCCTTTATTTTATTTTTCCTCATGGTGCTCACCCAACTGATGTAGTATGTATTTATGTTTTCATTTGTTAATTGTCTTACCCCCACCTCCCATTAGATTTTAACCTCCATGAGAATGGGACTTTTTCGCTCCTATTCTGCCCCAGTTGATAGAACTGTGCCTGACACAGAGTAAGTGTTCGATAGACATTATTAGGTGGTAGTCACCATTAGAAGTAGAATCTGTTGAATATGGTGATAGCTGTAATGTAGTAAAAAGAGTGACAGAGAAGGAATTAAATGACTCCAAGTGTTTCTTTTTGTTGTTGTTTTTCCTCTTGGGTTAACGTGATTTCATAGAAGTAATTTTTATGCCTTTCTTTTAAAACAAGAGCTAACCCAGTTATTTTTGTATTTTACATTTTGAAGGGTAATTTTGTCATTTCCAGTATCATTTTAAAAGTCCCAAGGTTAGTCATAGAAATCAGTAATTCCAATGAGAAATGTGAGTAGGTTGTGACTCATAAACACATTTTTGTGATTGTGCTTCTGATTTGTATTCTGTTATTCTATTAACAGATTCTATTGATACTATTCTATTCTGTCTGTAGGTTGTGGCTGGGATCTAGGGCTTTTTTTTTCCCCATAACTCATGTAATAGTCTTATTATTCATATGCCTCATCAGTTGATTCAATGCTCGCCTCTTTTCATCAAATAGTTAAGTTCAAGAATTAGTCAATGTGTTTAACATGATTATTCAGCTTGTTCTGTGATGCATGGTATTTGTTATTTGATTATTTGCTTCTAATTTTAGGCATGACTAAGAGATATCGTGAAATTACAACTCAACAATGAATTACAGCACAGGCTTTTCACAACTAAGAGACTGTCCATCATGGTGCCAGTTTTTCTCAAAATGGCATGTGTGCATGAAATTCTACAGGCATATGGGGTCGTGATCTGCTAATCTCCAGTTATTATAGTGAGTAATAGATCTGTAAGAATTCTCAGTCCCTTGCTCTAGAAAATATGCTATGTTATTATTTTAAGAATAGTCTTTTTAAGTTCATAGAAAAAAATAAATAAAATTAGGGTAATTTTTAATGTTATCAGTAATAAATGTCAATGAACTTGAATTAAGAATTCATTCTTGAGAAAACTTGCTTGTTTCTCCCAGAAAATCATGATTCATAAAGTATTTTTATATCCTCTAGACAAAATTATTTTATGTTCATTAAAAGGCAGTAGTGAAAATTCAAGAGTATGATCATCTTTAAATTTACAATACTAATTTGAAAGACTATGAAATAAGAGTTAAAAAGGAACTGAGAGAGAAATTCAAAAGTTTGTTGAAAAAATACATTAAAAGAAATTATGAGAAAGTCAAATTATGCCATATTCTTGGCTAGAGATGACGAGATCGCTGATTTTAGCCATTCTTCTCTAATTCCAAAGCAACCAGATTCTTTTTGCTAAGGTTGGGTTTACAAAAATATTGTGAAATAATCAACATGTGTGTGGGTGTTTCCTACCATACCTTGCTCATGGTATAAGTGCTGGGATCATGCTACTCCTTGGAAAATAGTATCTCCCACCATTTTTCTAGAATTTTCCTACCTCATTCCCCTATGAAAACCTACCTTATCTCTGTTCAATTCCCTCAGGCCTTTATGTTGCCCTCCAAATAACAATGGGTAACTATTACCATTAATAATATCACACATATAAATAACATGATTTACAATGTTTTCTACCTGTATTATCTCATCTGATGCTTCAACATTTTACAGCAGGAATTCTAATATGCAAAAGTTGGCAAACTATAGTCTACCACCTGTTTTTGTACAGCTCTAAAGCTAAGAATGATTTTCACATTTCTAAGGGGCTGTTAAACAAATAATATACAATGGAATGTTGTTCACAAAATCTAAAATATTTGCTATCTGCCACTTTACAGGTAAAGTTTTCCTACCCCTGGAATCGTGTTATAATTCTCTTTAAAAGATGAGCAGACAGAGACAAAGCTACATATAGGTGAAGAGCTAGATGCCTTTTGACTTTATTTTCCTGTGTATACCAACCACTCAAGACCCCCCCGTGATTCTTAGCAGCTCATAAAATAATACGGCTGTAAATACAACCAAAAGAGAGATAGTAATATGTAGCGATATATTATGGAAGTAAAATTCCTAAGATACGTTCCAAATAGCTCTTATTGGATGTGCGACATCAGTGAACTTTAGCTGATTCTGATATATGCTAAAGTTTAAATCACATAATCATTTGGTCTTCAATTTCTCATCTGCAAAATTAGAAGGTTTACCTGTGTCACTTGAATCTATTCCATTTCTGCAGAATCTATGTCTCTGAAATGTCAACACTAGCTCAACTGTAGATAACTGTTCCTTCTAGGTCTAAAGTATACTAACTGTTACAATAAAATGTTGCAAGGGGGTCATATCATGACTTTGACTCTTCTGAAGGCTATGAAAGTAAACTGGGAGCTAGTTCAAGAGAAAATAAGACTTCTCTAAACACATATCTATTTTCCTTGACATTTAAGACACTGCAATTGATATTTTTCTTCTAGAGGCTTAACAATTCTATAGGTTTTTAAAATTCCAAAAACTGACAACCAAATTTGGCTTTCAAGGCCATGTGAGCTCCTAGTGGATTGACCCTCCTCATGCAACAGCTGCATAGTGAATCAAAACCAAAATTAAACAAGTAGAAACCACACACACACACACACACACACACACACACACACACACACTACCTGAAAGCTCCGGACAGTGTACAAAAGCAGGCATATTCTAGAAGTAAGTAGCTCATAAAGAATTAACTGGCTCATAATGAGTCTTCTACTTACATGGCTTTTACCTAGGGACTGGCCATGGTCTACACTGTACAGGGTGGCAGAAACCTTGATAGAAAAATCAGGGGTTTACATTCCCAGAGGACAAAGTTTAGGGCAACATCAACTGCCAGAAAATGAAGAGAAAATCCCAGAAAGAGAGAACAAGAAGGGTAAACCACAAATTCTGTGTATTAATTCTGCCAAGATCCCTGCCTGACCCTGAAACACAGAAGCACGGGGCACACTGCAGGCAGCTAAGCTAATAATAAAATAATTAAACTGAGATGCAAGCTGCTACAAAGAGACAGCACTGATAGTTGGAATCTAGCCAAGTTAATTGCTTGTTAAAGCAGCAAATATCAACAATTTGGAGAAATATAAAGAATTGAGAGTTTTTACAGCATGGTATTTCCAATGTTCAGGATAAAATCCAAAATTCTTTGACATTAACAACACGGTAAATGTGATCCATTTTCAGAAAGCAAAATAATCAACGGAGAGCAACCACAAGATAACCCAGTTGTTGGGATTAGCAGACAAATACTTAAAGCAGATATTTTAATTATACTCAGTGAGTTGAAGGAAAATCTCATAATAAATTTTAAAATTTCAGCAAAACTACAGATACTTGAAAACAGAACCAAATAAAAATTCTAGCAGAAGAAGACAATATATGAAATTTAATAATTCATTTCCTGGGAATGACAGCAGAAAGGTGATGACAGAGGAAAGAGCCAATAAAATTTGAAGACAGGTAAATATAAATTATTTAATCTGAAAATGAGGGTAACATTTTTTAAAATAGCAAAAGCCCCAGGAACCAGTAAGGGAAGAGCAAAATATCTCATACGCAAGTAACTAGAGTCTCAGAAGGAGAGGAGAGAGATCATGGAGTTAAAAATATTTAAGAAAATAATATCTCAAGGTTTCCCTAATTTAGTAATCAAGGATTTTGACAAACTTCAAGCAGGATAAATATAAAGAAAATTCAATGTTTGCTTATCATAGTCTAGTTGCTGAAAACCAAATATAAGTAACATTTTTAGAGCAACCAGAGAAAACTTATACATTACATAAAGGAGACCACTGCTTCAAATTATTACTGACCTTTTTATCTGAAACTATGGAAGCCAAAATATATTGGAACAACATGTTTAAAGTGTAAAACAATAAGAACATACAACTGTCAACTTAGAATTCTACACTCAATGAACATATCCTTCAAGAGTAAAGGTGAAATAAAGACATTTTGGATCAAAGGAAACTAAGATAAATCATCACCAATAAACCTACCTCTACTAGAGTAGTGCTAAAGAAAGTTCTTCAGGCTGAATAGAAATGATACCAGAAAGAAATTGTTATCCTAAAATATTAAGAGGATCAGAAATATTAAATATTGTATTATTGAAATATAAAATGTTTTATTTTCAATTTATTTAAATTACATAGTCTTTAAAGCAAAACTTATAACAATGCTTTCTGGGAATTATTTTTTATTCTGAGTTTATTCCCTTCTTTTTTTCAGTTTTATAATGTCCTGCATTACAAGGGAAGGATGTCCACTCTCACCATCTATATTCAACATTATATTGGAGGTCTTAGCCAGTGCAACAAGAAAAAAATAGTGATATTAGAGGAAACGAAGAAGTTAGTCTGCTTTTTTTTAAAATCGTAGATGACATAATTGTTTACAAGGAAAATCCTACAAAATCTATGGAAAAGTTTTTAGAAATAATGGGTGCATTTAGCAATGCCATAGGTTAGTTACAAAATTAATATGCAAACTTCATTGTATTTTCAAATATAAGCAATAAGCAATCATAAAATGAAACTGAAAATTTTACAACAGTATCAGAAACTGAAATACATGGCAGTACATTTAAGAAAAGTGTAGAAGACTCCTATACTGAAAATTACAAGATATTGCTGAGGGAAATAAAATAAGAGCTAAATAAATAGAGATATAGTATGTTTATGAAATGAAAGACTCATTATTGTAAAGATGTTGATTCTCCCTAATACATCTATAGATTTAACACACTGCAAAGACCTTTTTTTTGGTAAAAAATGACCAGTTAATTCAAAAATTTACATGGAAATTCAAAGGACCTGGATATAGACAAAGCAGTCTTGGAAAAGAACAAAGTTGGAGAACGTATTACCTAACTTCATGACTCACTGTAAATCTCTCACTAATCCAGACAGTGTGATACTGGCATAAGGTTCAACCAATAGAGTAATGGAACAGAATAAATATCACAGAAATAAGCACATGCTTTATACAGCCATTTGACTTTTGACAGTAGTCTCTAAGCAATACTATGAAGAATAAGGTATTTTCAATAAATGATGCTGAAATAGCTAGGTACTAATCTTGAAAAAAATGACAGTACATCTGCACCTTATTCCATATATAATAATTAACTTGCAATGTCTTATAGGCCTAAATATAAAAGCCTAAATCATTGGGATTTTAAGGAAATCAAAAAATAATGTCTTTATGACTTGGGCATAGGCAAAAATGTCTTAGATATGGAAAGTAACAACTGTAATGAAAATTATAAATTATCAATTTGTTAAACTTAAAAGCTGCTCATCAAAAGAACAGATGAACCATGAAGTTGAAGTCTGGGAGAAAATATTTTAAAAACATATCTGATAATAAAAGACTGGTATCCAGGTTACATAAGTTGGCTGGGCGCGGTGGCTCACACATGTAATCCCAGCACTTTGGGAGGCTGAGGTGGGTGGATCACGAGGTCAAGAGATCAAGACCATCCTGGCCAACATGGTGAAACCTGGTCTCTACTAAAAATACAAAAATTAGCTGGGCATGGTGGTGCGTGCCTGTAGTCCCAGCTACTCAGGAGGCTGAGGCAGGAGAATCGCTTAAATCTGGGAGGCAGAGGTTGCAGTGAGCTGAGATCACACCACTGCACTCCAGCCTGGCGACAGAGTGAGACTCCATCTCAGAAAAAAAAAAAAAAAAAAGACTGGTAGCCAGGTTATGTAAGTAATTCCTATGACTCGATAATAAAAATGTTAAACAATCCAATAAAAAATAGGTAAAGGATTTGAAAAGAGAAATTCACAAAAAGGATATATGGATGAATGACATGCACAAAAAAGTGCACATCATTAGTCATCAGAAAAATACATTTTAAAACCTCAAGGGGCTACACATCTGTCAAAATGAGTAGAATTAAAAAGACTAATAATATCAAATATTGTTAAGGATGCAGAGCAAGTAGAATTCTCATACATGAAAAGATCTAACGATTGAATATAAACTAAACATACCTACCCTATAACACAATAATTCCAATTCTACCTATTTACCCAAGGAAAACAAAAACAAGTGTTTTATGCATAATAGTCAAAACCTGGAAGTATAGGGAAATGTATCTGAAAGCCTGTAGTATACTTACATAATGTAATATTATCCAGCAATAAAAAAAGAATAAGCAAGTGATACACACATTAACATGATACATTTTAAAAATATTATACTAAGTGAGAGATACCTTACAAAAAAGCACCTACGATATTATCCCATTTATATGAAGTTTTAAAAACAGGTCAATATAAAACATAGTAGAAAGAATCAGAACAATAGTTGTCCTTGGCAGTAGAGGAAGGGATTCCTTGGGAAGGAGAGTGAGGGAACTTTCTGAGGGGATGATAAAGTCTTTGTACAGGGTTGGGTTATATCAATACATACATTTGCCAATGCTTATAAATTTAAAAAATATTCTAAATATGCATGCTCAAGTATTTAAAGGAAGTGTACAGATGTCAGCAATTTATTTGGAATTATATCAAAAACATCAGATGGATTAATGAATGGAAAGATGGATAGATGAATAGATAAATGAAAAATAAACATAGTTAAATATTCATGGTAGTATTTAGGTGGTGGGTATGTGAGTGTTTACCATAATATTTTTTCCAATTTTCTTTATGTTTAAAACTTTTCATAAAATTGTTGAAACAATTTAAAATTGTTAAAATGTTGGAACAAAATCAGAACTATTTGTGAGAATGACTAAAATGTAATCTTATTTAAAGCTCTTGTTGGGTTTGCTTGAAGATGTTTTAGAAAGCTTCTTTGTGCCCCATTCAATTAAATAAGCATCAGGGGAAATTTCAATTCCATATTAATCTCTATAATCTTAAAATATAATTCTAATGATATTAATCTAAAATTATCAACAACCCAATTAGTAATTTACAGATAAACTAAATTATTCATGAAAAGGAGAGAAAAGCACAAACTAAGTCTAATTGTTTTCTACAGAAATTCAGATTTAATCCAGAGTGAAAACTAGAGAAGATGGTCTCTGGGAGAAATGTGGCCTGATTGGTTCTCATATGAGGAATAAGCTCCAAGTCCCTCAAAGGCATTATCCATTAACAAATATCTTCTTGCTCTCTTTGGCTCTCTATAGGAATTTAGACATGAAAGAGTGGAATATATTCTGTTTTAAAAATATTATTGCAAATTGTTGCACCTGTGCATCTCTTCCAGACTACTTTGAAAAGGGACTTTCCAGCTATCAGTACACTATCTCACAATTACCCTTGAACCAGAAGACAATGAATGATTTGCTAAACAGATGGCATAGTCTATGACATGCATCATATGTGTGAGCAATCACAGAAGGTATGACTTTTCTCATGAAATATTTTCAGACAAATATTTTAAGTTAATCTAACATTCACTAAATCTACCTACTGATTTTAGGTAGATTTTCTTTCTCCAAATATACATTTTTAAATAAAAATTTTCATTGTATTGCATTGTATTTTATTGGTTATCAACAGCACCATGTTCTTAGTTTTTTTAAAAAAAATGTTTAATGAGTTGTAATATTTGTGTCTTTAAGCAAGGGGTTCCCTCATTTTTCCTGTCTTTTCTGGCTTGATTTGAAGTTATTCCTGGGTATCAATATTCTACACACATTGTCTACTGCTTACCTCCAACACAGCAGTTTTCACTGTCATGTAATTATTTGTTTGCTCATCGCTCTTCCCCATGACCATCAACTCCTTGAAGGTAGGGCCATTATTTATACATCTTATAACTGAAGCTTACAGCATCAGATCAGTTATATGATCAGAACACAATGTTTGTTGTAGAATAAATGAATAAACTTTGTTAATTCACTCAGGTCTAACTAGTCTCCTACATGATGAAATATAGCTAAGAAAATTCAAAGTAGAGTTCCACAAAAGAAAAACAAAGTAAATATCAATTTATTAATTTATAATTTGATCCAAAGACCAATTTCCAAGAGGCTCTCTCAGGTACCAAATTGCTGAAGTCCTTTTCTAGGACATCTCCCTTCCTGGTGTCAAAGTACGTGGAAAACTGAAGCTTTAAGCAAAAGATGGCTTGGGTATATATTTAACCTAGCTTCTGTTGAAGCATCACTAGTCTGCAAATACCACATTTCTCTAGTGACCATCTTCATGTCTCTGAGCCTTAAAGAATACTGGTTAAAACACTAACAGATATTATGTTTCTGAATATGTGCTTTATTTGCTAGTTATCCTATTTCTAATGACATATTCAGTAGATTTGTTTATGTTGTAAAATGAAGTGCTATCAATTTATTGTTATCATGAACAGTCAGAATAAATATTGAAACCTCTTATTTGGGCAAAAACATGATCTGGCTCATTTTACTTTCTTGACTTCATCCCATAGTGTTCTCATTTTCTCACACTATGCTGTATACCTATGAGACTCCTGTATATGCCAAGCTTATTTCTATCTCAGGGACTTTGCACCTGCTATTACCCTTGCTTAGAATGTACTTTCCCCACCCCCATTCAGCCCCATTTAGGCATGGCTGTTTCCTTCTCTGAATCCAGGTCTCAGCTGAAATATAACCTCCACAGTTATTCAGTTATTCTCTGTCACATCACTAAGAGTTATTTTGTTCATAGCATTCATCACCAGATGAAATTATCTTTTTTATTTATTTCGCTTATTTATTTGTTGACTTTTCATTTGAATGAAGGCTCCATATGAAATAGAACCTTGTGGCAGTTTTTCACTACCGTAAAATCTGCCCCAGTGTTTAGAAGAATGCTTGATATTTAGGCCTTACATGCCTCAATATATTTGCTTAATGAATGACTAAAGACAGAAGACAGTCTTCTCTCATCACCTGTTGATATTTACACCGATTTTTGGAGTCTTGAGAACATTTGCAGTCTGCAACCTCACTTACCTTTCAAATATTATCACCCACTAATCTCTTCTTGTTATTTTCAGTTTCTCTGTTAGTCCATCTATTGTGATCTACAGATAATTTTAAGTACTTTGAGGTTAGGGCTTTTTTCTTATTTTTCTTTAAAATTCTGCACCCTTGTCTCCTCAGTAGTGATTGTGGTTTTTTTTTTTTTTTTTTTGAGACGGAGTCTCACTCTGTCACCCAGGCTGGAGTATAGTGGTGTGATCTCAGCTCACTGCAACTTCGGCCTCTTGGGTTTAAATGATTCTCCTGCCTCAGCCTCCTGAGTGCCTTGGGTTACAGGCGCCCATCACCACGTCTGGCTAATTTTTGTATTTTTAGTAGAGTTGGGGTTTCACCATGTTGGCCAGACTGGTCTTGAACTCCTGACCTCAAGTGATTTGCCAGCCTTGGCCTCCCAAAGTGCTGGGATTACAGGCATGAGCCACCGCACCTGGCCTTGTGTGTTGATTGTTTAATGGTTGCCCTTCCAAGAGAAGATGCCCTTTAGGCAGCTGGAAATATAGAACTACTCTGTAGTAAGAAACAGGGTACTAATTCACAATAGGAAAAACATGGAAACAGCCTAAATGCCCATCAACCAAAGAGTGGATTAAGAAAATGTGGTATATATACACCATGGAATACTACTCAGCTAATAAAAGGAATGAAATAATTGCATTTGCAGCAACCTGGGTCAAGTTGGAGACCATTATTCTATGGAAAGTAACGCAGGAATGGAAAACCAAATATCGTATGTTCTCACTTATAAGTGGGAGCTAAACTATGAGAGTAAAAAAGCATAAAAATAATATAATGGACTTTGGGGGACTCGGGGAAGGGTGGGAGGGGGTTGAGGGATAAAAGACCACACATTGGGTACAGTATAAACTGCTCGGGTGACAGGCACACCAGAATCTCAGAAATTGCCACCAAGGAATTTATCCATGTAACTAAAAAACACCTGTTTCCCCAAAACTACTGAAATTTAAAAAAAAGAAACGAGGTGCTCAGGTTGGGATTCAGTAACATGGGGATGAAACTGTGAGGTAAAATTCTCACTACCAGTTGAGTACCAAGAGGAGCAGAAGATCCTGGCAAGGAACTCTGTGAGATAAATTAGGAGAGGCAGAAGCAAAACAGGAGAGTATTCACTTAGAGGAAGGGGGAAGGTGGGAGTGGGGAAGTTATTAAGACAGAAACAGGATATAATTTTAAGGAGTTAACAGCAGTGGATTTGGATAGGAAAAGCAGTTTCTCTGAAACTGTGCAATCAAAACATGATTACAAAATGTTCTGGAACAGAGTATTTAGCCATATATTTGGCATTAAAAATTCCTTCTTTACTTCCTTAGCAAGCAAAATATTGGATAAATTATTGTGATTTAATGGACTAAATGGTTTGACCTAATTTTCCAGATGGAACATCCACACAAATGTATTTCTATTACCTTAGATTTATTGGTTTCAAATGTAATTGTATCTGGATGTTCTTCATTTATCTGCACTTCATTTTATTTCCTGATAACCTCCTACATTTCAGTACCTTCTCTTTTGCTATCATCTTGCCTCTGCACCACTCCCAAAGTCATTTTAAAATGCCTGGTGGTGATGCTAGTTCATTGGAATATATTGAAGAGATCTCAGAGAAGGCACAATGTCCATAGATAAAAAGGTAGGATATGGTAGATAACAATTCCACCCTTCCATTCTTACCTTAAGAAGGGAAGAAGGATGTGTCTACTGAAAATCTACCCAAGGTGTCTTGTAAAGGTAACCGGGAGGAGAGCAAGCTTTCTTGGAACATTAGACCCTTGGGATGAGTGTATAAAAGCAAACAGAATTATAACTCTTTTCAAAGAAGTTAATTAGTTCATTCAAGTTGGGGTTGAGTGGAAAGAACACGGTGTTCTAGTGCCAAATTGGTCATCAATTGGTTATATAATTGAATCAAGTTACGTAGCTTTCATGATTTCAGTTCTCATGTTTGAGCGATGAGAGGCCGAACTAGGTGGCCTCTAAGATCTCGCTGAGATCTAACATTCTGTCATCCTTCACAGAAGACAACTTGAATATAAAAAATAAAATAAAATACAGAAATGAAAAAAATCAGTTTGTTAGCTTTCCTGTTTAGATATTTAGTCCAGAACATTTCTGTTCTTAAAGTTTCCACATTTTGAAATCCCTTAATGATTTCAGAATTTCTCAGTTATTTCCATTTAAAAATTATGCAATTTTTCTTGACTGCTAAATAAACAAAACACAGAACACATTTAGAAGAATTTTCAAAAACTAAAAGGGAAGATAAATGACAAATAAAAATTTTCCAACTTGGTTAATTCCTAAGTTATACTTACTGTTAAAAACCAAAACTTCACAGTCAAAACAGAAGGGAGAGTTGAGGCAATGATTTTGGTTACTGTCAGGATAGGATAAAAAAGAATTTCCATAAATAATATGATATGGTATAGAGAGAAGCATGTTTTCTTTATTTAGGCCCACAAGCCTAGAGAAAGAAGGAGAGAGAGAGAGAGAGAGAGAGTCCTAATAATAATCTTTGGTGATTTTTCTACTTACTGGTTTAGGTGTATTAAAGATATTAATCTACTGCCTATTATAGATATTAATTTGCTTAGTAGATGAACAATATTATGATAGCCAATAACATATTATTTTACTCAACAATTGCTTTCCATAGGCATTCATGATTTTATTGGTACAAGAAATTAAAATACCAAGCTACAGATTAGTAGTTAGAGGAAATATGTCTAAGGTCTCATATGCACCTTTCTAATAAACTATGGTTTTTAAAGTCTCCCGTTAATAATTTGAAACAGTTGGATTATAGTGCATTGATTGAACTGCAGATCCAGTTAACGAGGACTCTTCTATGTACCTAACAGTTCCGTCCCATATCATAATGTTTGAGGTGTTATACTTACTCCTGTAAATGCTTTCTGGCACACCGGACTTTATGCTTCAAGAATTTAGTTATAAAAGCAACAGAATTTCATCAGAGACCTTAAAAAAATAAAGAGACGAGAGAAACTATTGTTGTCTATAAGGGCCTGCTTTGGGAAAGAAATGGAAGAAACTTTCACAAATAGGTCATCTTGACTTTATGCCATAACTAAAATGAACAAATAAATAAGAACCTAATTTTAGTAGTAGAATTGTGGAATCAGAATGAAATAATTTTGCCCAATTTTATGTTCTTTGGAAAAGTTTTAGAAGTCAGAAATGAGATTTCAATTTATTGAGAGCTACAATCACATGAGAATAATCCAAATACTAGAAACATTTTTTTTTGTTTCATGAAGAAGGAAATATTTGTGCAATTTTTAAATGTTATATTTATATTAAGAATTAAATATTTCCATGGTATTAAGTGACAAACAACAAGCAGACAAAAATTATAACAAAGAAGCAAATGAATTATAACAGAAGTTATTAAATTAACCAGCTGTTCATTCTAATGTACAAGTGAATGTTGGAACAAATTAAGACTAAGTCACTGTGTTATCCAAATTAGATATTGTATAATTCTCAACGGAACAGCTATTCTTATCATTTCCCTTGTATTTTTTTCTTACCTGAAACCTTATTAAGCACTGAACATTTGTAAAACATTCATTAAGAGTAGCAATATTATAAAACCTCTTTTCATCATTCAGGATGTTTCACAATATTAACAATTTTAAAAGTATTCTAGAATATAATCAGATTAAGCAATTAAATATGGACAATGTGTATGGGCACCTAAGATGGCTTAAATTTACCATTTAATTACATTTCTTTTCTTCAGGCAAAATTCTCCTTCAGAATTAGATTAAAAAGAAGACTCTTATATGAGTAGGTAAAATAAAACTTCCTTTATCATCTTATCTCATATAATCTATTTGCTTCCTAAAAAAATTCATGTTATCCTGGCCAGGTGTGGTGGCTCATGCCTGTAATCCCAGCACTTTGGGAGGCCGAGGCGGGTGAATCATGAGGTCAGGAGATCGAGACCATCCTGGCTAACACAGTGAAACCCCGTCTCTACTAAAAATACAAAAAATTAGCCGGGCATGGTGGTGGGCACCCGTAGTCCCAGCTACTCGGGAGGTTGAGGCAGGAGAATGGCGTGAACCTGGGAGGCGGAGCTTGCAGTGAGCCGAGGTCGCGCCACTGCATTCCAGCCTGGGCGACAGAGCGAGACTCCGTCTCAAAAAAAAAAAAAAAAAAAAAAAAAAGCTTCTGTGCAAATTGTAATATGACTCTTTAAATAAAGTTACATTTCAATAAGTTAGTTAGAGCCTGAAGTGACATAACTAAATGCAAAATTATATTATCTTTGAATAATAAGGAAAAAACTTATAGTTTATAGACTCATTACTATTTCTTATGAACAGTTTAATTGCCAGGACATATGGTCTACAGATCCCTTCAATTTCGTTTTAAATAATTTCATGATGTGGTTTTTTTTTTTTTTTTTTAAAGCTAATCAGGTAATCACAGATTGATATTGTTTGGCTCTGTGTTCCTACCCAAATCTCATCTTGAATTGTAATACCTATGTGTCAGTGGAGGGATCAGGTGGGAGGTGATTCCATTATGGGGGCGGTTTCCTCCATGCTGTTCTCCTGATAGTGAGTGAGTTCTCATGAAAGCTGATGGTTTTAAAGTGTTGCACTTCCTTGTTCTTGCACAGACTCCTTCCTGTTGCCTTGTGAAGAAGGCTCCTGCTTCCCCTTCACCTTCTGCGCGATTGTAAGTTTCCTGAGGCCTCCTAGCCATGCTTCTTGTTCACTCTGCGGAACTGTGAGTCAATTAAACCTCTTTCCTTTATAATTACCCAGTCTCAGGTAGTACTCTTTATAGCAGTGTGAGAAAGGACTAACACACAGATTGATTACAATGTTAGAAATATTTTTTAGAGCACATTTTTCTCAAACTTACAACAATTTAATTGGCTGGGCGCGGTGGCTCACGCCTGTAATCCCAGCAGTTTGGGAGGCTGAGGTGGGTGGATCACGAGGTCAGGAGATCGAGGCCATCCTGGCTAACATGGTGAAACCCCATCTCTACTAAAAAAAAAAAACCAAAAAATTAGCTGGGCGTGGTGGCGGGTGCCTGTAGTCCCAGGTACTCGGGAGGCTGAGGCAGGAGAATGGCGTGAACCCGGGAGGCGGAGCTTGCAGTGAGCCGAGATTGTGCCACTGCACTCCAACCTCGGCGACAGAGTGAGACTCTGTCTCAAAAAAAAAAAAACAAAAAAAAAATAATTTTTTTGCTTCAACACATCAATAATTCTGGGAAAAATCATGGTGGCCTGGTCGCTTGGGCTATATGTAAGAAACTAGGGATGTGGTGATGCTTATCTCCCCCACCCTGAATTAAAATCACTCTTCTATGTAATTGGTTGACAGCCTTTTTGTGTGTGGGACACCCTTTTGAATACAACTGTTGCTGAAAATTTGTAACACTTGAAAGTCTCAAAACAAATCAGAAAAATTTACAATAAAAACATTTCTGCTTATAACAAGATCTCACAGACTTTAGAAAAGCATCCATAGATAGTACATTATTTATTTGATTGCTTTTCTGAACCGTGCCTTTGAGAAAAACTCTTTGCTGTTCTACATTCTGTCTTATAGTCACAAAGCAAATTTCTTGTCTAGTCTTGTAAATACATAATTTTTCTTCAATATTGTTTGGACATTATGCCTTCTTATCTTTTCCTTAGTGCTAGCTGTATCCCACTTCGTCAAGTCTACTCTAAGTGCTCACATTATAATATTATGTAGCTGCATTTCTAACAGAAATGAGTTTTTCACACTGAAAAATTCCACAGTTCCGAGAACATTCCCAGCAACACCATGAGACACAGCATGTGAGAGTTGAGAAATGCTCGTCCAGAATCTAGTCTGCTTATATGTCCCTTTCATTGACTCCTGATTTATGCTTTTATACCCTGTATAAATTTCCCATTGTTCTGCATCATTTAATATTTTCCAGACATGTAGTGAGCATTGCTTAATTTCCCCTTTTTTGTTACTATTGAGTAGTTAGCCTTTTAAGATCTCCTTTTACTAAATCTGCTACCAATGATTGCTTTTCTTTGGATTAACTCCAACTTTTGTAGGTACCTTATCATAGAAGTAGAAGGGAAATTAAGAAATCTTTAGATCTAGGCTCCTAAAATAGGGGCAAAGAAACACAGCAGCATTTGGAGTATTCTCTTCTCTTCCATTCTTTTCTTAGTCTAGAATCTAGACCATCTGAGTAGCTTTGGAGGGAGTGCCATTTCAGAGCCTAAGACTTGGTGTAAGTCCAAAATCATAATGTTTAGGAGCCAATTTTAGGCAAAATTGGTTTATTCAGTAATGATATAATGCCATTACATTATTTCCCAAGGACTTATTTAAGATTTAATTTTCAATTGATAATCTATGGGCAATATATTGTCATATAGGGAAATTAAGAAAGCTAATTTTGGGGAATGTAAGAAAAACCAGCACATAATTAAAATTTTTAAAATTTATTTTTACTCTATATGAAGCTAGTCAGATACTAACTAAGAAAGAAGAGACTATATGAAAAATTAAAATATCAAAAGTTAAGGGAAGTATTGGAAAGCCAGACTAAATGAAAAGACTAGCCGAGTAAATGAATAAATGGCATACAATTTATATATAAATGCTTGGTTGAATGCTTACAATAACATTTGTGGAAGGAAAAATAACCCCATCACTTTCAATCTAGTATCCTTATTTTGTAGATGAGGAAACCAAAGTCATAAATGGTTAAGAAATTTGCTGTCACACAGTCAGTTAAACTGACTCCTTGGGTCTTGATCAAGTGCTAAATAAACCAGAGAATATGAAATTATACCTTAAAAATAAATTATATAAACACTAATGTTAAAAACAGTTATAAACTTGCAGCATTGTGATTAGAGGACATACAAGTTTTTACAGGTATAATTGTGGTAATTAGCTCCCAAAAATTTCCAAATGAATACATTCATATGAATATTTGAGAAATATGGTAAATATTGATAACGATATGGAGAAAACTTATTTAAAAGCTGTATTGGCATAACTAAAACGATACAGTTTAATCTTAAAAATGTCAGTGTAGCATATTCCATTCCAAAAAATACAATTTTATCCTAAGACGTACTAAAACCGAGCCTATTTCCCAGTCAGAAATATAAATTTATTTTTCTCCTGGTGATGTTTTGAGATAGACCCAGGAGCCTTTTCAGAAAGAAAATTGGTGTTTGGGTAAAGGGACACAAAAGTACAAGAAAGATAGAAAGAATACCAAAAAGTACAGCTATGATTTGTAATAGAGTAACTGAAGGCAGCCCCTGGAATGATCTTTAAAAATAAATGAGATCAAGTTCTGCTCTTGCTCAAAATTGCTCAATGGCTTTCCAAAGTTAAGTTCAATAGAAAGTCTTTCCTATGGCCTGTAAGGTTGGCCTGATTCCTCTTAGGTGACCCTTCTCTCCTCTGACTCCACCATAGATATTTTCCCTTTTCCCCAAGTTAATTTCCTCCTTGGGGACTAAATATTTTTCTTGGGGCCTTTTGGACTTTGCCTCCAGATGTAAGCATGGCTGATGTCTGCGCACCAGGCAGATCTCTGTGCACATGTTGCCCCAGCAGAATGGTCTTCCCTGTCTAGAACAACCTTCCACACAGCTGTCTGACATTTTTCTCCCGTTTTATTTTCCTGCCCAGCACTTACCACTACCTGGAATTATATTATCTATTGCCTGCCGCCCCCACGAGGATATAACATCCGTAACGGCAGAAATTAATACTTTGCAAAAACATATGTGTTTTCACTTATATAAGAATAATAAGATTTATTTTACATTTACTATGACTTCTGCATTACAAGTTCTTTTACACGCATTGTTTCATTTAGTCTTCATACTAACCTTATTAGGAAAATACTATTATTATCGTCATTTGCACATGGGCAAATTGAAGCTTATAGAAGTTTAAAATGTGTTATTTTATTACAGTTGTTACATATCTGGGACAGGATTCAAACTTAGGTCTTTTTGGCTTTAGGTCCTGAGCTGAAAAGAATATGAGAAATCGGATTTTACGACATGTAAGTGACATAAATACTCATATATACAAAGTGAAAGAGCTAAGGCAGAATGCAGGTATCATGACTCTCAAGGAATAGAATTACAAAGAGAATTTTTACAGAGCACTAAAGTATTACATTGTTGAAGATGAACATAGCTGAATATGTGATAAGCTCTTAAAAATAAAGCGTGCACTGCACGACAGCATTTTGGTCAATGACGAACCACATATGTGATGGTAGTTTTATTGGAGCTGAAAAATTTCTATCACCTAGTGATGTTGTAGCCATCTTAACATCACAGTGCAACTCATTACTCAGGTCTTTGTGGTGATGCTGGCACAAATGAACCTACTGTGCTGTCAGTCGTATAAAAGCATAGCACACACAATTATGTACAGTACATAATACTTGATAATGATAATAAATGACTCTAGTTTATGTACTTACTATATTATACTTGTTATTTTAGAGTGTACTCCTTCTGATTATTTTTTTAAAAAAAAGTAACTGTAAAACAGCCTCAGGAGGGTTCTTCAGGAGGAATTCCAGAAGAAGGCATTGTTTTCATAGGAGATAACAGCTCCATGCATGTTATTGCCATTGAAGACCTCACAGTGGGACAAATTGTGGAGGTGGAGGACAGTGATATTGATGATCCTGACCCTGTGTAGGCCTAAGCCAATGTGTGTGTGTTTGTGTTTTAATTTTTAACAAAAAAGTTTAAATAGTAAAAAAAAAATTTAATAGAAAAAAGCTTATAGAATAAGTGTATTAGGCCATTCTTACATTGCTATAAGGAAATGCCTGTGACTGGCTAATTTATAAAAGAGGTTTAAGTGGCTCACGGTTCTGTAGACTTTACAGGAAGCATGGCCCGTGCATCTACTCAGCTTCTAGCGAGGCCTCAGGAGGCTTACAATCATGGCAGAAAGTGAAGCGGCAGCAGTCACGTCACATGGCGAAAGCAGGAGCGAGAGAGAGAGTGGGGCATGGGGGAGGTACTGCATGCTTTTAAATGACCAGATCTCATGTGAACTTAGAGTTAGAGCTCACTTATCACCAAGGGGATAGCTCAAGCCATTCATGAGGAATCTGATACAAACACTTCCCACCAGGCCCTGCCTCCAACATCGAGGATTACATATCAACATGAGATTTGGAGGGGACAAATGTCCACACTATATTAATAAGGATATAAAGAAAAAAATATTTTTGTACAGCTGTACTATGTGTTTGTGTTTTAAGCTGTATGATTAGAAAATAGTCAAAAAGTTAGAAAATTTAAAAGTTTATGAAGTAAAAAAGTAACAGTAAGCTAAGGTTAATATATTATTGAAAAAATATTTTAAGTAAATGTGTATAGCTTAAGTGTACAGTGTTTATAAAGTCTAGAGTCCTAGGTCCTCACATTCACTCACCACTCACTCACTGACTCACCTACAGCAACTTTCCATCCTGCTAGCTCCATTTAAGTGCCCTATGCAGTCGCGTCATTTTTTATCTTTTATAGTTTATTTTTACTGTACCTTTTCTATGTTTAGATATGGTTAGAGATGCAAATACTTAGTATTGTGTTACAATTGCCTATAAGTATTCAGTACAGTAACATGCTGCACAGGTTGGTAGCCTAGGAGAATAGGCTATACTGTATAGCCTATGTGTGTAGTAGGTTCTGTATCTACTTTCTGTAAGTACACTCCATGATGTTTGCACAATGAATTCACTTAACGATGCATTTCTTAGGATGTATCCCCATTGTTAAGCAACACATCACTGTGTTTGCTAAATTGATGCAAAAAAATTGTTTATACTATTTTCAAGTCTATTATATCGTCATGTTTGAATATAGAATTTTGGATTCTTTGAAGTAGAAAATGTTTTAAGAGCTCTTCATTCCCTGGCTTCTTGGTTCATTGAGGTCAATAACTAAGATATCACAAAGAAGAAACTCTTCATGTATCAGGTATTCTTGGAGTCAGTTTTTCTTTTCTTCCCTTTGGCCAAATAAATTCTTCCCCCTTTTAACCTATACTTTTTTTTTGTCCAAAGTTTCTTTTTTTGTTGTTCAGTGTTTTTGTGGAGTTCAGAGAACAAAAGATCTGTGTTTCTGTATCATAATTCATTTTGGTTATAGATTTCCTAGTTCTACATAGTTGCACTGGCAGTAAAGAGATCCTTTGATTTTTCAGTAACCAATTCCTCCCTTTACATGGACCATGAAACTTAACAGCTGACTGAAAGGTATGAGAGAATTTCTCTTATCTCTTAAAGTAGCTGGAAAATTGCTAACTGTTCTGAAGTGAGCTTGTTTTCTTGGTCATCTCTTTGGGATCCTCAAGTAGACTGAAGTACATCTTCAGAGGACTAAGCGCTGGCAACACAAAGACTGCGGTATCAGATACAAAGTCACCACATTGTAGAACTGGGATGGAAGTTGATTTCATCGTGGTTGAGTAAGTCTGGTCAAAGCTAGTCTGTCTAAGTCAGCCTTCTGCTTAAATGAACAGATTATAAGCTGATTATTCTACATGAAACACAATGGGCTCATTTGCCTCTTAGTGCTTAAAGAGAAAACCAATAGCGTAGATTGGTTCCAATTAAATTCAGTGAATCAAGCTTCCTATGGAATTAACCAAACAATTATGTCTAGTACTGGCCCAAGCATGCTGTCGGGATTTTTTGATGATGATGTAGTGATTAAGAGTGGCAATGATGGGTCTAGATCATGCAGGCGCAGCTCTGCTAACCACAAATATTTCTTTTGATAGGTAGGGTACAGAGTAACTCTTGTCTTTAAAAATCTCTAATGAAATCCTTAAAACCATGGAATATAATTAAATTCGGAGTTTTTCAGGTGATGGAGGTTGTCTGTGTGAATAAACATGTGGTTCAATTGGACCAACTTAAAAATTCCTTGGTTGGCTTGTCTGTGTTTGCTCTTGGCTGCTTTAGTGCTTTAAAATGGTCCAGTTAAATCAGACTGTCAAAATGGTGAGGTTCCTGTTTGATTTACTCATGCCACACAAACCCACACAGAGTGTTATGAATGCCACATTTGAGAAAATCTCCCATTTGTGAAAACATATTGGGTCACATTAAAAAGGAGATTAAATGAATCCCTTTTTCCAAAAGTTTTTGGTAGGTAGAAAGGAATGCTGAGGTGACGCCTGTGTAATGGCAGAAATACAGATGCCTCTTTCTCATGGAAATATGTTCTATGGGCTAAATTTCATCACATTGGGGGATGGGAGACTATAAGAAGCAGGCTTCAAATTACCCTTCGATGGAAGGCTGGCAAATTAAATCCTGACCTTCTGCATGGTATTTAGAGTGCAGCGCAAGAAGCAGCTCACACATTCTCGAAAGAAACCCCATTGTAAGCTTTGCTATGCCTCAGCACTGCTGGGCCTGCTCTCCTTCACTGTTCTACATTGTAGAATACAGGCAATTGGTGTGTGACCCACTTATTTTACTTCTACAGCATTTACTGCAGGCATACTTTGTTTGAAAGATCTCAATGCTATTCAATTTAAATAGATTTATAAGGCCAATGGATTCAAAATGCACAAATAGGTCTATTATATAGACATGTCCTAAGTTAGATAAGATGGGATTTTATAGAATGGAGAGTGTCTTCCAGACTGGTGTATGTACCAATGTCCAGCAACGCACATGTAAAGCTCATCGGATGACTAATGATGACTCCTGGAACCTTAATTCATGGGGAACAAAGGGCTTTTATGGTCAATACTGAATAAGACTCTCCAATTTCATATCCTTCTTCTAAGTAGAACTGGCAGTCAGACCCTTAAGGAATAATTCTAAATACTACTGCTTCTTATTAACTGAAAACACAAAGATTCTAGATAGATGATCAACAGAAAGCTTTGTTGTGTGAGGTAGGTATGAGACAATTATTTTATTTCTTTGAAAGCAGAAAAGTAACTAAAATTGTCATGTATTTTTGGTTACAATTTTACTGCTTCCAGACTTAAGTTTCACAAGCAATTAAAAGGTTTAAAGATGCTCCATTTATTAAAGTCACTTGTTTGTGTTCTTTGACATAATTTGCTGATCAAATGAGTCCTATTGGAATCATATCCCAACAGCAGTTCCAAGCCATTAACAACATTACTGCATTATTGGGGTTTAATGGGGCAAAACACATTCATGTAGCTTTTCTGGAGCTCTGTATTTAGTAGCCTCTCATATTTAATTTTGCTTCTGTCCTTTTAATATTACAAAACAAGCTAACTTTAAAGCCAAATACTTAGTGTTTGAAGCACTACATTTCAGAGAGTAAAAAAAGGCCTAAGTGGCTGGGCGCGGTGGCTCACGCCTGTAATCCCAGCACTTTGGGAGGCCAAGGCGGGTGGATCACGAGATAAGGAGATCGAGACCATCCTGGCTAACATGGTGAAAACGCGTCTCTACTAAAAAAAATACAAAAAAATTAGCCGGGTGTGGTGGTGGGTGCCTGTAGTCCCAGCTACTCGGGAGGCTGAGGCAAGCGAATGGCGTGAACCCAGGAGGTGGAGCTTGCAATGAGCGGAGATCGCGCCACTGCACTGCACTCCAGCTTGGGCGACAGAGCAAGACTCTGTCTCAAAAAAAAAAAAAAAAAAAAAAAAAAAAGGCCCAAGTAAAAAGAACAAGGTAACATGTTTATTGCTATACATTTTCCCTTTTAGATAGGATGAGAGTAAGAAATGCTACCTAGAACTAGAAGGAAAAATGTTCTCCCTTATCTATTTGCAAAATCCTTCACACTGTTAACTTTAAAGCCCAGGTGAGTTGAAAATGAAATATATATAAAGGGCATATTTTATGTATCAGATGTCTGGGGTTGTGTCTGCAGGGCCCTAAATATTTAAAAGAAAAATTGTAGATGACAGTGGACATAGGGACAGAGGACATTTGACAGTGTGTTAGAAGAGGGGCCAAACATAGCAAAAACACGATTGGCCATGAGCTGCATGGACAGTAGGGGTTGCTAGCCAGGACGATTCCTTCCCTAAGCATGAGCATGGCCAATATGGAGACTGTCCTTTTTAAAAGTGACATGAGGCTTGCTTGTGTGTTAGCACTACCTGCACAGAATAGACTTTGATCTCACTCAGATCAATGTTGGGTCTCATCCAGCAAAGTGCTATGTTAATGTATCAAATAGATTAATTTGGTTTCTAAGTGATTTCTTCCAAAAGGCAGTCACATGGCAAGAACTTAAAGGTCAACATGATTATTAGTCTATTATTTAATTTTGTTATTTGGGAGTATACAATTTAACCCTTGTAGGAGAAGAAAACAACTTTTCTTCTACTCTGCTATGTTTATTTCCTGGGGTCTGTGAATTAAATGGACAACAGACAGACTAACAAGAGAAATAATTTTTCTGTATGCATATGGGAGCCCACAAAAGACAGCTCCTTAAATGGTTAGAGACTCATATACCTACCTTAGTAGGAGAAAGGGAGTGGGGACAAAAGACATATATGGGAAAGATAAATAGATCTTCTCTTTTTAGGAGAAGAAATGGAAGAAGAACGTGGTAATATTTGTCTGTATAGGTTTGAATAGTCTTTTCCTCTCTTTCAGGGCCATAAAACTTCACTAGAGAAGGGATTTGATGTAGGTTTTATTCACCTCCCTTCTAAGGTTACATCCATCTTGAAGAAGAAATTTATGGTAGCCCTATTTCTCAGAATATGCTGCTATTAGTCAGATAAGGGAAACTTCTTTGTGCATCTGTTGATTCTCAATTGCCTCTGCCAAAGTGACATATTATGGGTGGCATATTAGGATACCCCTCACTCTATAAGCAGCAGCCATAATAAAACTATATTATAAGCATGATTTAACATCCTTGATAAGTGTTTAGAGACTTTATGCCAAGTGACAAGATTTTGGTGAGTTCTTGGCATGTGAGGGTGAGAAAATGTAATAATTATTTTATTTTCAAATTCCAACATCAAAGATTTTTTTCCTCAAACAGATGGGACAAAATCCATCATTCCTTAAGGTTTACATAATGTTAAAAATAACAAACATTTTGACAAGAGAACGTGTAGCAGAGGCAGAATTTACTAAGTTATATTTTTCATGATAACACAACAGTGACTTAATATATTGAAGAACAAATCTAGTAGAATGATTTAAAATTTTACCATATCAATTTTAAGAGGCATTTGAAAAATAATAGAAGAAACACTTAAAGGAATTTTTATTAATATATACTTCACTTGGAGTTTACATTTGTAAGTCAAAAATTTAACTAAAATTTTGGATAAAGGAAATATGGTATATGTAAACAATGTAATACAATGGAAGGAGGCCAGGCGCGGTGGCTCACGCCTGTAATCCCAGCAGTTTGGGAGGCGGAGGCGGGCGGATCACAAGATCAGGAGATGGAGACCATCCTGGCTAACACGGTGAAACCCCGCCTCTACTAAAAATACAAAAAATTAGCAGGGCGTGTTGGTGGGCACCGGTAGTCCCAGCTACTTGGGAGGCTGAGGCAGGAGAATGGCGTGAACCCAGGAGGTGGAGCTTGCAGTGAGCCGAGATCACGCCACTGCACCCCAGCCTGGGCGACAGAGCGGGACTCCGTCAAAAAAAAAAAAAAAAAAAAAAGAAAAAAAGAAAAGGAAGGAAGGAAAGAAAGAAAGAGAAAAAGAAAGAAAGAAATCAATTCTGGCTGAGTGTAGTGGTTCACACTTGTAAACCTATCCCTTAGGGAGGCAGACATAGGCAGGTGGATAGATTACTTCAGGCCAGGAATTCGACACCTGCCTGGGCAACACAGTGAGACCTTTTTCTCTGCAAAAAGGAAAAAAAGAAAGAAGAAAGAAATTCTGCTATATGTGACTACATGGATGAACTTGAAGGACATTGTACTGAAATAAGTCAGACACGGATGAATATGGCATGACTTCATTTATATGAGATATCTAAAATATTCAAACTCACAGAGAGAGTAGTGTGGAAGCTACCAGGAGGTGAGAGTGGCGAGGAAGGGGAGCTGCTATTAAATGGTTTAAAATAATTAATTGTGTGGCTGGTAGACTCAGATGGCTCCAGTGCCCTGGGTTCCTGTGTAAGCAAACTGAAGCCCAACTCTGCATAAATTGTCTTAACCAATCAGAAAGCACCAACTCACCTCTAAATACGGACTTTCCACTGGAATGATCCAAATAAGGATACCGCTCCTCTTTAACCAATCAAATATTTTCTTTGGCTTGCTTCCATCTTTACCCTATAAAAGCATTCTCCTCATGCCCCTGGATAGAGCCCCAGAACTGCTTCTAGTTTGAAGCTGCCCAATTTATGAATCCTGTCTGCTCAAATAAACTCTTTAAAAGTTTATGCCAAAGTTTATCTTTTAACAATGAGAATAAAGTTTAACTTATGCAAGCTGATTAAGTTTAGAGTTCTGCTGTACAGCATTGTAACTGTAGTTGACAATACTGTATTGTACACTTAAAAATTTGCTAAAAGGATAAATCTCATGTTAAATGTTCTTACCAGAAAAAAGTATTGAAAATACCTGGACTTAGAGAAAATTTTGTAAAGAATCCTCTCTATGCAATCAATCTTCCATCTGTGGATAGAAAATTGGAAGATGTGCATCATTTAGCTGTCTAAAAAGTAACAAAGTTCAGCAAAATACACTTATAACAGCTTTGTTTTGCATGATGATTTTTAAAATAAACAATAACATTATAATATTAACTAAAGCATATGACACTTCTATAGGTCAGATATTGTTTGACTCTTTACATACTCATTTAATTCTAACCACAACCCTTTAAGACAGGTATTGTTTATGGCTGCATTTTATAGATGAGGAAACTCAGGCACTGAGAAAAGAAACATATACAAGTATATTGTCTTAGTCTGTTTATACTGCTATTTAAAAATACCTGAGACTGGGTAATTTATAAACAACAGAAATTTATTATTCACAGTTCTGGAAGTGAGGAAGCCCAAGATCAAGTGCAGCCATGTTTGGTGTCTAGTGAGGGCCCATTCCTCATAGATGACACCATCTAGGTATCCTCACACAGCAGAAGAAATGGAAGGGCAAAGAAGGTAGTGGTAAACAGCTTTTTCTCACCTTTTATAAGGTCATGAATCCCATTCATTAGGGCTGTACCCTCATGACTTAGTCACCTAAGGCCCCACCTGTTATTACCATTGCAAAGTCAATTAAGTTTTAACACATGAATTTTTGGGGACACACTTAGTCTACAGCAGACATAGTATGAAATTATGAAATAGTTGGTTAGATTATTAACTTCTCACTCAACAAATACTTATTGAGCCCCTATTACTTGCCAGACACTTTTTGAGGTCCAGGGAATATAGTAGTGAGCAAGACAGCAGTGTTTTTGTCCCTAGTGGGAAAGAGGAAAATACACAAAGATAATATTGAATGTGATAGGTATCATGAAAGGGTATTCAGTGTTTAGTGATGGTATAACCTAGTTTGTGAGAAGGTGAAGCTGAGAACTGACAGAGGAGTCAGCTTGGTGGATGGGGGAAAGAAGGACATTCCAGGTATGGAAATAGCACGTATAAGGCTGATATGGGAAGAACCTGATGTATTAGAGGAAATGAAAGGAGTCTCAAGTGGTTAGACCACAGTTAGCAAGGTGGAATGACAGAAGGTGGGTTAGAAAGGTAGTGAAGGGTGTGATCATCTGAGTTTTGTAGGATATTTAAAAAAGTCTGGTTCTAGGCCGGGCAAGTTGTCTCACACCTGTAATCCCAGCACTTTGGGAGGCTGAGGTGGGTGGATCACTTGAGTCTAGGAGTTTGAGACCAGCCTGGCCAGCATGGTGAAACCACATCTCTACTAAACATAGAAAAAATTAACTGAGCATGGTGGCAATGGGATTACATGCCTGTAATCCCAGAGACTTGGGAGGCTGAGACATCAGAATTGCTTGAACCCAGGAAGCTGAGGTAGCAGTGAGCTGAGGTCACACCACTGCACTTCATGCTGGGCAACAGAGTGAGACTCTGTCTCAGAAAAAAAATGCTGGTCTTATTTACGACTTTCCATGGCAGAACAGTTAGGAACTTATGATAATAGTTTGCTGAGAGATATCCATAGGCGAAACTAGTGGCAGATGCAAAGAACAACAGGTATAGTTGAGAAAGATCAATCAGATTTGGATGTAATAAAAGAGGGCAGGTGGTATGAGGCTTCTAGCTTGAACAATGAAGTGGATGTTTAGGGTGGGGGGAGAGATGATGACTTCAGTTTTAGATTGGTTGAATTTTAAATGTCCATGAAATATTTGATAGGAGATATTGAGAGAAAACTAGATATACATGCCTTGATCTCTCAAGAGAGGTCTGAGTTGGAGTTATTGAAAGTTAATAGCCTGTAGATGGTAGTTAAAGACCTGCAAGTATATATGATTATGCCACAGAGAAAGTCCAGAGGGAAAGGATGAGGGCTCAAGATTGAAACAAAAAATTAATAAATACTCTTTGAATGAATGGACGAGGTTTCATAACACATGACAGGGCAAATAGGCCAGTATTTTTTTTCTTTTTTAGGAGTTAACAATCCTTAATAATATAAGACAATATGTTATAGGAATTGATATGGTTTGGCTGTGTCCCCACACAAATCTCATCTTGAATTGCAGCTCCCATAATCCCATGTGTAATCGGAGGGACATGGTGGGAGGTAATTGAATCACGGGGGCAGATTTTTCCCATGCTGTTCTCATGATAGTGAATAAGTCTCATGAGAGCTGATGGTTTTATAAATAGCAGTTCTCCTGCACACATTTGCTTGCCTGCTGCCATGTAAGACATGCCTTTGTTCCTCTTTCACCTTCTGCCATGATTGTGAGGTTTTCCCATCCATGTGGAACTGTGCATCAATTAAACCTCTTTTTCTTTAATAATTACCCAGTATCAGGTATGTCTTTATCAGCAGTTTGAGAACAGACTAATACAGTAAATTGGTGCCAATAGAGTGGGATACTGCTACAAGGATACCTGAAAATGTGGAAATGACTTTGGAACTGGTAAGAGGCAGAGGTTGGAACAGTTTAGAGGGCTCAGCAAAGGACAGGAAAATGAAGGAAACTTTGGAACTTCCTAGAGACTTGGAGGTCTCAGAAGACAGGGAGATGTGGGAAAGTTTGGAACTTCTTAGAGATTTGTTGAATGGCTTCAACCAAAATGCTGATAATGATATGGACAATAAAGGCCAGGCTGAGGGGGTCTTGGATGGAGATGAGGAACTTCTTGGGAACTGGAATAAAGGTGACTCTTGCTATGTTCTTGCCCCTGGCCTAGAGATCTGTGGAACTTTGAACTTGAGAGAGATGATTTAGGGTGTTTGGTGGAAAAAATTTATAAGCAGCAAAGCATTCAAGAGGTAACTTGGGTGCTGTTAAAAAAAAATCTAGTTTTATGTATTTACAGATATATGGTTTGGAATTGGAACTTATATTTAAAAGGGAAGCAGACCATAAAAGTTTGGAAAATTTGCAGCCTGATAATGCAATAGAAAGGAAAAATCCATTTCCTGAGGAGAAATACAATCCAGTTACAGAAATTTGCATAAGTAACAAGAAGCCAAATGTTAATCACCAAGACACTAGGGAAAATGTCTCCAGGGCATGCCAGAGGTCTTTAGGGAGCCCCTCCCATCACAAGCCAGGAGGCTTAGGAGGAAAAATATGGTTTTGTGGGCCAGGCCCAGGGCCTTGGTGCTTTGTGAAGTCCCCTGGACTTGGTGCCCTGTGTCCCAGCAGTGGCTAAAAGGGCCAGCGTACAGCTCAGGCCGTTGCTTCAGACGGTGCAAGCCCCAAGCCTTGGCTGCCTCCATGTGGTGTTGAGCCTGTGGGTGCACAGAAGTCAAGAATTAAGGTTTGGAAATCTTCACCTAGATTTCAGAGGATGTATGGAAATGCATGGATGTCTAGGCAGAAGTTTGCAGCAGGGTTGGAGCCCTCACAGAGAACCTCTGCTAGGGCAGTGCAGAAGGGAAATGTGGGGTGGAAGCCCCTACACAGAGTCCCCACTGCGGCACTGCATAGTGGAGCTGTGAAAAGAGGGCCACCATTCCCTAGAGCCCAGAGTAGTAGATCCACCAACAGCTTGCATCGTGCACCTGGAAAGGCCATAGACACTCAATGCCAGCCTGTGAAAGCAGCCAGGAGGGGGGCTGTACCCTGCAAAGCCACAGGGGTGGAGCTGCCCAAAGCTGTGGGTGCCCAACTCTTGCATCAGCATGATCTGGATGTGAGACATGAAGTCAAAGGAGGTCCTTTTGGAGTTTTATCATTTGACTGCCCTGCTGGATTTCAGACTTGCCTGGGGCCTGTAGTCCTTCATTTTGGCCAATTTCTCCAATTTGGAATGGGTGCATTTACCCAATACCTGTACCCTACCCCCACTGTATCTAGGAAGTAACTAACTTGCTTTTGATTTTACAGGGTTATAGGCGGAAGGGATTTGCCTTGTCTCAGATGAGACTTTGGACTGTGGACTTTTGAGGTAATCCTAGAATGAGTTAAAACTTTGGGGGATTGTTGGGAAGGCATGATTGTTTTTGAAATGTAAGGACATGAGATTTGGGAGGGGCCAGAAGTGGAATGATATAGTTTGGCTGTGTCCCCACCCAAATCTCATATTGTATTGCAGCTCTCATAATCCCCATGTGTCATGGGAGGAACCAGGTAGGAGGTAATAGGATCAATGGGGCAGGTTTTTCCCATGCTGTTCTTGTAATAGTGAATAAGTCTCATGAGATCTGACAGTTTTAGAAAGGGCAGTTCCCCCTGCACATGCTCTCTTGCCTGCTCCCATGTAAGACGTGCCTTTGCTCCTCCTTTGCCTTCTGCCATGATTGTGAGGCCTCACCAGCTGTGTGGAACTGTGAGTCCATTAAACCTCTTTTTCTTTATAAATTACTCAATCTCGGGTATGTCTTTATTAGCAGTGTGAGAACAGACTAATACAGGAATCAAAGTAGTAGATGTGGAAAATGTTGTAGGCAATCAATAGAGTAAGGAACCAGTTTTAGAATGGTCAGGAAGGCCGTATCAAAAGAATAGGGCCCTAGTAGGATATTAAGATGACCAAGTGGGAGGGGAGTTTAAATGAAATGTGAGGAAAAAGGAAGGCACAAGGCAGATTTTGCATAGGAGCTGCCAAAAGAAGCAAAAGAAATAGAGATGATGATTTCTGTCCTCATGGAACTTACGTATAAATGAAAACACTATAAACAGAAAAGAAAACATGAAATATTTAAAAGAACCATATTTTATGGACTATGTTAATTAATATTATGGGTTGTCTATATGCAATGCTGAAGAAGCATTAGAGTGGCTGTGCTTTTCTGGTATTAGGAGAGTATTGTGGAAGAAATGGGTTTGGAGTCACAGTTTAAAGACAGTCATGGATGTGAATTTCTTAGTCTTAATTCATATTCTCACTAAAGTATTTGATTGCCTAGTAAATATATATTGAGTGTCCATTCTGTAGCAGGTTTTCAAAGCCTAATAAACTGCATTTGAAAGGTTTTCCCCTTTATTGTTCTTTATAAATGTAACTTGTAATTGCTGCAATGAACCATAATTACTTAAAGCCAGATTAGATGAACTGTAAGTGCCATTACTAACCCTCTTAATTAGGGAAAGCAAGCTCAAGGGAAAATGAAAATGGATGCAGTGATGATTGCTTGTACTCAAGTGCAACAAGGACACTCAAGAGAAGTTATACTACAGTATTCTAATTCTAAGCTTATTTATGCATTAAAAAGTTGACCATTTAATAAATGTTCTTACTGCTATTTTGAAGTCACATCCCAAATCCTGAAATCTCTAGTTTGGTTTTTTCCATTAATAAGCCATTTAAATATTTGTATCCAGTGAAAATCCCTCTTCTGACAACTAAATATAGAAAGCTAATCACTTCGTGGTTAGACCCAATGAACAACAAGCTTCTCAAACTTAATACTCATTTATTTATTTATTTTTTGCTTCAATTGAATGCCAATTGTTTCATTTTCCCATTATTTTGATTTCTAAGGGAAGATAACTCTAACCTAGCTTAGATGGAGGACACAAAAGAAATAGACTTTTATTTTCCTACAGAGAATATAAATTCACAAATGTAAAAGACTCTTGCCACATTCACTTCCTTCTTTTCTAGCTCTCTTCATTATGGAAGTGGTAGTAAATAATTCCTGGAGAATTATATAGATTAATTGTTGTCAGGAAAACAAAACCGAAACCAAAGTAACAACTAAAGAATGCTACAGAACTTCTTGTGCACTCTTTGAGCATAATGTCTGCTCTATGTCTCTCACAAGGCAAGATCTCTGCAACTCAGGCCTCCTAAGGGACCTCTATTACCAGCCTCTAAAGACTTAGTTGGAATGTTTGAACATGTTTTAATATAGTAAGAGCTTTTTAATTTTCTTTCAATTAACAAAGTTTTATTATCATCAAACAGGGCCTCTAGAACTATATCTGATGAATTATTCAAAAAGGGTTGTGAAACAGGTTCACTGTGCATTGATTACCAATTTGTCTGAATCTAGTGAGACAGAATACCCCTCACACAAGTTATATTTAGATATTTTATTATAGATAGCAGCAAGAGTTTACAGAAACCTGGGATTCATTGTGAGCCAGTTCTTCACGGCTCAGGAAAGTCACCCAAGGCAGTTGAGAAACCCCAGAAAACAGCCTTCCCTGGTTTTATGCCCCAGGGGATTATGACATGCTGAGCTAAAGTATTAATGAACATCCTCTTCTGGGGGGTTAGAACAAGCCAGAGCTATTTGGACTAGCTCCCCCTTATCCCAGCACATTCTACAGTTATTCTTGAGAACTAAAAGGGAGGAAGGCAGAAAAACTGGGTTTGTCCAAAGGGGCACCCAGAGAACTGCCCTACAGAAGGTAAAGGAGGTAGAAGCTTATACATATTTTATACTGGAGTTTAGATGCAAAACAATGTGGTGCCTAAGGATATAATATTTGCAGTAAAAAAACCCAGAGTTTGAATAACTCTTGTCGTGTGACTTTAGAGAACTCCCCACCTCCCCATTTTTTAAAGCAAAACATTTTTTACTACAAAATAATGTATGACAGTTGTCATAAAAATATTCAAAACATCACTAAGAAATTGTATTAAGTCATTCTTGCATTACTAAAAAGAAATACCTGAGAGTGGGTAATTTATAAAGAAAAGAGGTTTAATTGGCTCACAGTTCCGCAGGCTGTACGCTGAAAACATAACTCCAGCATCTGCTCAGCTTCTGGGGCGGCGTTAAGGAGTTTTTACTCATGACAGAAGGCAAAGTGGAAGCAGGTACATCACAGGGACAAAGCAGGAGCCACAGAGAGAGAAAGTGGGGTGGGGGAGGTGCCACACACTTTTAAATGACCAGATCTTGTGAAAACTCACTCATTTGCAAAGAGAGCACCAAGCCATGAGAGATCCACTGCCATGACCCAAACACCTCCCACTAGGCTCTACCTCTAGCATTGGGGATTACAATTCAACATGAGCTTTGGGTGGGGAAAAATTACCAAACTATATCAGAAACAAATGGTAAAAATTGATCATCTATTTTCTCTTTCAGTCTTATTGCCCAGAGGAAACCATATTTACAGTATGTCCATAGGAACTTTCTTCATATATCTTCTTTTTCTGTCATGTAGATACTAATTTTAAAAACAACAAATACCAGATTATATTTGTTTGACAAAAATACTTCTGAAAATTATGCAATTATGTGAGTGAATTACTTAAACTCTTTAAGCCTTAGTGTCCTCGACTATAAGGTGAGGATGTTAATTCCTATTTCAAAAAATATGATGAGGAATAGATGAGTTAAAAGCAAAGTGCTTAGTAAAGTGACTGAAATATGGAAAAGGTTCAATAAATGCTGCATGTTAGTTATCCAGGGCTCTTGCTCCTTTTCACTTCTCTGGTTGCAGTGCACTTTCAGTGTTCTATATGTAGTTGCACAAGTGCATGTTATCCATTTATATCAGCCCATATCCTAGAATCAGTAACGGTTCATGGAAGACGCTTAATCAGTGATCACTGAATGAATGAACACACCATGAGTCTAATACTTATTGAGCTGCTTTGCAAATATTTATTATGTCAGTTTGTCTCCTTTTCTTCTCAAAGCTCCTTGAAGACAGTGGCTTCCTTGTCTCACTCATTTTTTTTACTCTACATCACACAAAGTAGGCCTTAACCAATATTTCGTAAACACAGGCATGCTCCTAATCTAGTCAAACTTAGAGCTACTCTTTACTTCTGCATAAGAAATTTGAAAGGAGCACATTCTAAAGGCTGACTGTGGAGTAGAAGGAGCGCCTCACAGCCTTATTCATCTCAGGCAATCTGCCGTTCTTTTAAAGAGCTGAATAATCCTTTCTAGGTCCTTCTGACATTTTGATCTAGAATGCTTGCTTGGAGACTACCAAGGAAAGGGGATCTGATGTTCAGGATTATGATTTATCTTTGAAAGAACCCACAAGGGAGAGAGAATTCATAGAGTTGAGGAAAAGCCAAAGATCTCTGGGGTCTTTTCTGGTTGGCCACCAGGCCTGGATTGACTTCTCTCTTCAAGCCCTCTGCATTTTTGGAGCAAAAAATCTTGACTAGGCACAAGGTATTGACTCTTCATTTTCATTTGAAAAATTACTCAATCTACTTGACTTTCCAACTTGGGTGTATATCTTCTCGTATTTATCTGGAGAAATTAAATAATCATTTTCCTCTTAAGTTGCTTTTAAATGTATCATTTACATAAAAATCTTCCAGTTGAGGTTGCGGTGAGCCAAGATCGCGCCATTGCACTCCAGCCTGAGCAACAAGAGCGAAACTCTGTCTCAAACAAGACAAACAAACAAACAAACAAACAAAAATCTTCCGGTTTACTTTCCAGAATTTCTTGGATGCCCTTTTATTTATTCGTAGTGCCACATCATCAGTTTCCCTACGTTGAAGCATAAATCCACCCATAAAAGCAGAAATTATCAATATTTCCATGTTCCCTATAATAAGTTTCAAACTTCCCATAGGTAGTCAACTACACACATAATAGTTTCTTTTTATTCTGGACGACATCTAAAGAAGTTTTCATTTCATAAAACATTATTATATCTGAGACAGTGAATTAGTCTCTATAAAAATAGTGGTAAAATAGATATAACAAAATGTATCATTTTAACCATTTTAAAGTTTGCAATTCAGTGGCAATACATACATTTAAAATGTGTGTAATCATCACCACTATCTATTTCTAGAACTCTTCTATCACCCCAAATAGAAACTCAAAATAATTTTTTTAAATGAGACTTTAAAAATCATTAATTCTGAAAGCATGTTGAAAACATTTGTGGAATTATTTTTCAAAGTTGGAAAAGTACATGAAGAGACAAATTATAGATACTACGTAAGTAGCTATTTGAGCTTTCTTTTTTAACCACAGCTTTAAAAATAATGTAAAAACAGATTAGAAGTATCCAACATTGCATATAGAACTAAAGTAGAAGTAGAAAGTAGAATAACAAATTAATTAACAAATATACCCCTACCCCACTTGGCTTTCTAAGTTTTTTGTACCGAGTTCAAATTTCACTTCCTCCTCAAGGAAATGTTCTTTGTTAACCTTCAGCAGAAATAATTTCTTACTTCTTTGAAATTTGCTTGGTTAATAGTTTCTTTTACTTCACGTTTACTTTGTATCTCATTTAGAACCCATCTCCCCCACCGAAGAAATAGGTCCTTGACAACAAGTTCCCATTCATTCATGAATAAAATATGTAATTGTATTCCTGTGATAAAATGTTTATTTTAATCATACTTTTAAGTTCATTTACTTTCACATGAAAAAATTAACTTTTCCCGAATAACCAAACAATCTTGACTCAGAACAAGTTTGGAGATCCCATACTTTCTGATTTTAAAATTTACTATAAAGCCATGGTAATCAATATAGTGTGGTTCTGCCATAAAGACAGACACATAGAGGAATGGAGTAGAACAGACAGACCAGAAGTAAAATCTTGCATGTACGGTCAAGTGTATATTCCACAAGCATATATTTGACAAGCTTGCATATATTTGAGAAGTGGGCCAAGACCATTCAATGGAAAAAGACAATCTTTTCAATAAATTATGCTGAGAACACAGAATATCCACATGCAAAAAGAACAAAAGAAGGAAAGAAAGAAAGAAAGAAAGTTGGAGGCTTATCTTACACCATATACAAAAATGAGCTCAAAATGAATCAAAGACCTAAATATAACTGATAAAAATTATAAAACTCATAGAAGAAAAATTTAAAAACCCTTCATAATATTGAATTTGGCAATGACTTTTTGGATATGACACCAAAACACAAGAAGCAAAATTTAAAAAGCAGATAGGTTGGACTTCATCAAAATTAAAACTTTTTGTACATAAAAGGATACTAGCAACAGAGTGAAAAACGCAACCCACAGAATGGGAAAAAATACTTGCAAGTCATATATCTGATAAAGGATTGACATCAAGAATATCTTTTTAAAAAAACTCCTGTCTTACTGTCTTAGTCCATTTGTGTTACTGTAACCAAATACCACAAGCCGGCTAATTCATAAAGAACATAAATTTATTTGTCACAGTTCTGAAGGCTGGGAAGTCCAAGATCAAGAGCAAGCAGTGAAGGCCCATTTCTCATGCATGATGCTGTGTATGTATCTTCATGTGGAGAAACAGCAGGAGAACAAAAGGCCTAAACTACTTTCCTCCAGCACTTTTATAAGGCACGGATCCATTCTTGAAGGTGGATCCTTCATGACTTTGTCACTTTCTGAAAGGCCCCACCTCTTAACACCGCCAAATGGGAATGGAGTTTCAATATGGATTTTGGAGGGGACACATTCAAACTATAGTAGTTTTTAACAACTCAAGAACAAGAAACCAAATAACCCAATTAAAAATGGGCAAAGGACTTAAATGGACATTTCTTCAAAAAAGATATACAAATAGCAATCCCATGAAAAGATGCTCAACATCACTAGTCATTAGGGATATGCAAATCAAACCCACAATGGGATACCATGTTACACCCATTAGGATAGCTATTATCAAAACCAAAACAAAACAAATACAGAAAGTAACAAGTATTGGCAAGGATGTGGAGAAATTGGGACGCTTCTGCATTGTTGGTGGAAATGTAAATGGTGTAGCACTGTAGAAAATGGTATGGCAGTTCCTCAAAAAATTTTAACATAGAATTATCACAAAATATAAATGCCACATGGATATATACCCTTAAAACATGAAAGCGGGGACTCAAACAGATATTTCTACACCCATGTTTGTAGCAGCATTATTCACAATAGCTAAAATGGAAGCAACCCTAGTGTCTATCAACAGATGAATGAATAAGCAAAATTTGGTATGTATATGTGCTGTACAATGGAATATGATTCAGCCTTAAAAGGGAAGGAAATTCTGACACAAGCTACAATACAGATGAAACTTGAAAACACTATGGTAAGTAAAATAAGCCAGTCACAAAAGGAGAAAGATTGCATTTTTTTATATGAGGTTCCTAGAGGAGTCAAATTCACAGAGACAAAAAATCAAATATGGCTGTCAGGGGCTGGGAGGAGGGAGAAATGAGAAGTTCGTGTTTAATGGGTACAGTTTCAGTGGAGAAGATGATGGCAGAAGATGGATGATAGTGATGGTTTCATAATGATGTGAATATATTTAATGACAAAGAACTGTGTGCCTAATGCTTAACATGCACATTTTATGTTTTGTATATTTTACCACAAAAATTTTGATTTTTTTTTCAGGCTTACATTTTTTATTTTCCTAGCTGCCTAAAAGAAGATTTGATAAGAAAAAATTTTTCTCTTAATGACCTTAAAATTTTCTCTTAATGAACAAGGTCGTTCTGGACCTTGTTCTGGAACAAAAATGATCTAGTGAGATTTAATCAATTATACTCTGGAAGCATTTGTGACGTCTATAATTTTTCCCAGAACGGAAAATCAGCAACAGAATCCTTGAGCTCAAAGATAATCAAATCTAACTCCTGAGTTTCACAGACAAAGATGCGGAGACCTGGGGGAATATCGTGACTTGAGAAGATAACACAGCTGTTCTCTGAGGCAGTAAGTCCCTTGGCATTACTGCTTTAACAGAAGCTGGGAGGTTTACAGTCTGTTTACTACTTGGGCAAATCATATTAGCCAAGAAAGCAAAGTACTGATGAATTCAGTAAACAAGATAGCCATTAGAAAAACAGGATTAAGAAAGGGCTTGAAAGAAGCTTCAAGGTGGTTATGTTTTAAGATTATGAAGCCTTTGATTCCTAGCCACAGCACTCAGTAGTTGTAAGACCAACTAAACAATTCACTTCTGTCTTCTGCAAATTGACTGGAATTGCAGGACATACCATATACCATGGAGCTCCTAGGAGATTCAGTGAAATAGCAAATATAGAGTGTCTGGCATGGGATATGCAGTCTATCAATGTTAGCCTTTGCTATGTAATCCAAAGTGATTTATTCCATAAGGAAAAAATGAGTTTGTTTTTTGTTTGCTTTTCTTGAATTCATCAGAACACAAGGCAGGGGTTTATGGAAATACAGTCTTGAAGAAAAAAATAAGTATTTTCCCCTGAGAGATGGAAACACTTGTGAAAAGAAATAAGTAGGAGCACAGGAGCTGGAGTAATCCTCTAGAGCAGGGGTCCCCAACCCCAGTCTGTGGCCTATTAGGAGCCCAGCCGCACAGCAGGAGGTGAGTGGTAGGCAAATTAACATTACCACCTGAGCTCCACCTCCTGTGAGATCAGCAGTGGCATTAGATTCTTATAGAAGCACGAACACTATTGGGAACTATGCATGCGAGGGATCTAGGTTGTGTGCTCCTTATGATAATCTAATGCCTGATGATCTGAGGTGAAACAGTTTCATCCGAAAACATTCCACCCACCACCCTGTCCATGGAAAAATTGTCTTCCATGAAGGCAGTCCCTGGTGTCAAAAAGGTCATCGACCACTGCCCTAGAGACTTTTTTTTTTTTTGAGATGGATTCTTGCTCTGTCACCAGGCTGGAGTGCAGTGGAGGCATCTCTGCCCACTACAACCTCCACCTCCTGGGTTTGAGGAATTGTCCTGCCTCAGCCTCCCAAGTAGCTGGATTACAGGTGCATGCCACGACACCCAGCTAATTTTTGTATTTTTAGTAGAGATGGGGTTTCACCATGTAGGCCAGGATGGTCTCGAACTCTTGACCTTGTGATCCGCCTGCCTCGGTCTCCCAAAGTGCTGGGATTACAGGGATAAGCCACCACACCCAGCCTAGAGACCTCTTTTAAAGGGACTCCTCAACAGGCTCCTCAGTCCAGGGTCTTTGCCCTCTCCCTTGTGGCTCCTGTCTCTCCAGGGCCAGCCATGCAAAAGCACGTATCTCTCAGATCTCCCTTCCCTGGTGATTCTTTCCATTTTAAGGGTTTTATTGATATTCATATAGAAAAACAAACAGAAATAATATGTTGGGCAGGAGCAAAGGTTCAGGAAATTTCAAAAGGATCTTTTAGTGGTCACTTCCTGGGTTATGCTAAACTGCAAATGATATTAGATTTACCTTTTTCAGAAGCTATTTCTACTTTTAGACCGCCCTGTGGAATGATCCTCTTATTATTTCTGATTCTTTTATTCTAAAAAATGGAGCAGTCGAAATTTGCCGAATGGCCATGCTATCACAACCCCAAAACTATAAAATTGTGCTATATACTTTTTAAACTTTTTTCTTATATATAGATTTTGTTCACCAAATCACTGCCTCAAATGTCTGGGAAATTGTGCTGAGAGATATTATTCTTAGGTATTCTGTATAGTATTTGAAAGATTAAGAAGTATTAAATAGCAAGCTTATTAATAATTATTTATGCTTATTAGAAACTTATTAGCTACAGTAATTTGGGGTTTCCAGTTACAACCAGATGCTAGACTAAGATCTTTGAGGAAAAGAACATTGTCTCATCTCTGCTTCTCTAACTAGAGTTGTAGGCACATAATAGATTATCATTGAATGGTCAAATAAGTAAAAGAACTAATAGAGAAATAACAATAAGCTGGCTGTTCATTGTTCAGTGAAACCAAATGGTCTTAATTATTTTCTAAATGTATGTTTGATCTAATTGTACTATCATTTTGATCAAGTTCTTTCCTTAACAAGTACTTAAGGATTAATGAAATCCTTTACATAAAAAGTACTTTTTTTAGATTAAAAAATAGTTTGCATTTTAAAACTCTGTAAAATGCACACTAATGTCCAAACTGATGCCCAATATGCAGCCTATATCTACAGCAGCTTTTCAAATATTTGGATGCAGATTTTCAAGTCCTAACATATGCTGCTCCAATTTCATAACAAATTTTACTTAGCAAATGAAACCAACCATGTATTTTAGTTCCAAAAGAAAAATAAAATTATTTCCATAGGGTTACACAAAGAATAAAAACTGTTGCATTGAGATACCAAAAACATGTAGAACTAATAAGTTCAGTGAAGTATAAGATAACTAAACAAAATACAAAAATCAATATACGATATACAAAAATCAGTGGTATTTTCATACGATGGTAATGAACAATCTGAAAATAAAATTAAGAAAACAATTCTATTTACAATAGCATCCAAAATAATAAAACAGGAATAAATTTTACAAAAGAAGTGCAAAACTTATATTCTCATTTATAATGCTGAAAGAAATGTTAACAGACCTAAATAACTGGGAAGATATATCACGTTCATGGACTGAAGGACTCAATATTTTAAGAAGACAATACTTTCCAAATTGATCTACAGATTCATTACTATCCCTATCAAAATCTTAGCTCACATTTTTGCAGAAATTGATGAACCAACTCTAAAATTTGTATGGGAATTGAAAGAATCCATAATAGTCAAAACAGTCTTGAAAGACAAAAAAGTTGGAGTACTCACACTTTGCAATTTCAAACGTGCTACAAAGCTACAATCATCAAGACATTATGAAACTGGCATAAAATTTGACATATAGATGAATGGAATAAAAGTGAGAGCCAAAAATATAGCCTCCCATTTATGACTTACTGACTTTCAACATGGACGTCAAAAGCAATTTAATGGAGGAAGAATATTCTTTTCAACAAATGATGCTGGGACAACTGAGTATCAACCTGCAAAAGAATGAAGTTGGACTTCTAGCTCACACCATATAAAAAAATCAACTTAAAATTGATCAAAGACTCTAATGTCACAGCTAAAACTAGAAAACCCTTAGAAGAAAATATAGGCATAAATCTTTGTGACCTGTTGTTAGGCAATGATTTCTTAGATATGACACCAAACACACAAGGAATAAAACAAACAAATAGATAAATTAGATTTATTCAAATAAAAAACCTTTGTGCTTCAAAGGACAATACCAAGAAAGTGAAGAGAAACAGAAAGAAAGAAAATATTTGCAAATCATGATATCTGATAAGGGATTTGAATTTAGAATATGAAAGAACACTGAGAACTCAACAGTAAAAAGACAACCCAATTAAAAAATAGGCAAATAATCTGAATAGACATTTTTCTAAAGAAGACATACAAATGACAAAAAGCCCATGAAAAGATACTCAACATCATCAGTCATTAGAAAAATAAAAATCAAAGCCACAATGAGATACCAATTTATGTTCACTAAAATGACTATAATCAAAAAGACAAATAATAACAATGGTTGGCAAAGGTGTAGAGAAATTAGAATTTTCATACATTGCTTGTGGAAAGGTAAACTTATACAGCCACTTTGGAAAACAGCTTGGTACTTCCTTCAAATGTTAAAAAGAGTAACCATGTGGTCCAGTAATTCCACTCCTAGGTATATACCCAAGAGAAAGCAAAACATGCTCAAATAAAAACTTGTTCATAAATCTTCATAGCAGCATTATTCATAGCAGGCAAAATGTGAAAACAACCCAAAGTCTGTCAGTTGATAAACAAAATATTATATATTCAATACACAGAAATATTATTGTCTGAAAATGAATGTAGTACTGATGCTTCAACAACATGGATTCTACAAAGTGAATAAATCTTGCAAACATTATGCTACATTAAAGAAGCCACTCACAAAAACCATATATTGTGTACTGCCTTTTATGTGATATATCCAGAACAGGGAACTCTATAGAGACAGAAAGTAGAATAGTGCCTAGCCAGGCCTGGCCAGGAAGATTCTGGGAGGCAATGGGGAGTGACTGCTAATAGATACATGATTTCTTTTCAGTGTGATGAAAATGTTCTAAAATTGATTGTGGTGATGGTTGTATAACTGTGAATATACTAAGAACCAAAGAGTTGTGTACTTTAAATGGTTTAATTGTATGGTACACAAATTATATCTCAATAAAGCTATTAAAAAGATGCCATAGTTGAATCTGTGTGCTGAAACTAGCTTTATAGTCAAATCTTCTCTCTCATATTTTATAGATAATTTACTAAAGCAAAGCTAATAATAATTTCATAATGATACTCATTCCAGATGAGGAAACTAATTATTCTTTTAGGCTAAGGAAATTAAAAACAATTTCCTATCTGAAGATTCACTGACACAGGCAAGAAAGATACCATATTTTTAATGTCCTGCCTCATCTAAAGATGGCAGGGAGACTCTAGTTTGTAATACAATAGTAGGGATTCAGAGTCAGCCACTTGGAGACCAAACAACTTGCTCATGTGGTACAGCCCCATATCATTCCTGATTCCAAAATGCATCCTCTTTTAGGGATAGGTGACCATAATATTATAATGTCATCTCACTTAGGCAGAGTCATCTTCCTTAAATGAGTCAACTCATGGAAGACAAACACCAGGTGGGTATGTCTCAGTGCTCAGTGGTGATTCAAAATTTTGGGCCAAACACAGTGGCTCATGCCTCTAATCCCAGTACTTTGAGAGGCCAAAGTAGGGGGATTACTTGAGCTCAGGAGTTCAAGACCAGCCTGAGCAACATGGCAAGACTCTGTCTCTACAAAAAATACAAAAACTACTGGGTGTGGTGGTGTGGCGCATGTCTGTGGTCTTGAGAGGCTGATGCACGAGGCTCACTTGAGCACAGGAAGTTGAGGCTGCAGTGAGCCCACTGTTACATAACAGTAACAGAACTGTTTATCAGCAAAAATAGATTGCCTTGTGGAAGGTAGCATCTAGATACAGTAGAAAATAAGGAGGTAAGTTGACAAGTAGGTACTTTATATCTCAGAGCATGATCTTTTGATGATAGATAATGTTAAGTTTCTGAACTTGCAAATATGTTAATCAAATTCTGGAACATAGTGACTCCTCTTCAATCAATATACTGTACTATATAACCACTCTAAGAAGCTCAGCCTTAAAATTGTGAGCATTAACCATATTGCTATTTATTTTAAAATTACTTTAAGGCTAAAAACAGATGAATACCAAATACAGTGCATAAACTTTTATTAATTTCTCGATTTAAAAAGTGCAAGTACGCATACTGTTTAAAAAATGGGAAACTTTAAATATTGACCATGTATTTGATGATATTATTGAATTGTTATTAACCCTCTTGGGTATGGTAATTACACTGTAGATATAAAGGAGAATGTCTTTTTCTTAGGACATATGTGCCCACGTATTTAAGAGTGAAGTGTCTTGACATCTACAATGTGTTTTCAAATGTTTTAGAAAAATAAATACATATAGAGTGAGGAAAATTGTATCTTAGAACATGTTGACAATTGGTAAATCTGAGTGAAGGTTATATAGGTGTTCATTGTCTTATTCTTTCAACTCTTTAGCAGCTTTTAATTTTTCAAAATTAAAAGGAAAAGTTATATTATAAATTAATGACAACCATATCTATATTCAATGGTCTCCTTTGTTTTCTGGCATTAATTCTACTCATTTGTTTATTTACTTATGCATTTGTTCATATGATTAATGTTTACTGAGCATCTACTATGTGCCAGAAGGTAAGAATAAATAGATGAATATAGCATGGCTCCTACCATCAAATAATTCATCATAGCCTATCACTTAACAGGAAAGGCCGCATTTCAGAGTCTAAGATGCTGCAGTGACTCTCAGGAGGTGGACTACATTCAGATCAAAGGAAAGGAAGGAGTATGGATAAACATTAACATCTATTGAGCATTCCCTTTACTGCATCGAGGGGAGGTGTGTGATTAAACATGCAATTACAGTAAGGTATGACTAGTGTTCTGTTATGACTGTAAGGTGTTATGGCAGTACATAGCTGCAGGGGTCTTAACTTAGTGTGGAACACAAACTTATGGCAGAAATGGCATTTATCTAAAACTTGAAATAATTACCCAACTGGACAGTGGTGGAAAAGCCACAGTAAGAAATCTCTGGCAGTGGGAAATCATTTGCAAAGTTATTTGCAAAGTTATGATATTGAGATAGAGCACAGCACCTAAATTTATTTGTTTCAGTATGGTTGGAGCATACATTAAATGCTAGAGGAGAAGCTAGAAATCAGGAAAGACAGCAGTCAGGAGCACAATCATGAGGCATCTCTAAACCTTGATAAGGAGTTCAGCCTTCATCCTAAAAGAATGGGAGGATTTTAAGCAAGGGAATGACAGGACAGAATCTGCATTTTAGGAAGAACACTCTTCTCACACTGAGGAAAATGGATTGAGGGGGAACAATATCAGACCTAGGCAGACCTAAGGTATTGTTCGTTTTGTTTTCTTTGCCCTGAGGTCCACTTTATCTGATATTAATATAGCTCTCCTACTTTCCTTTGAGTAATATTTGCATGGTTTATCTTTTTCTACCCTTTCACTTTAAATCTGCCTATATTGTTATATTTGAAGGGAGTTTCTTATAAAAAGCATATATTTTGGTCATGTTTTTAACAAACTGTTCCAATCTCTATCTTTTAATGGGTGTATATAGGCCATGCATATTCAATGTAAATACTGGTATGTTGAAACTTAAGTCTTCCATATTTTACTGTTTGTTCTTTCTGTTGTTTTGTTTTGTTTTTCCTGCCATTCTGCAAGTAACTTAAACATTTTTTAGAATTCCATTTTGATGTACACATACCATTTTTTCGAGTATATATCTTTGTATAGCTTTTTAAAGTGGTTGCTTTATATATATATATATATATATATATATATATATATATGTATAGCCACTAAATATATATAGCCACTATATATATATATATAAATGTAAAACTTACCATAGCCTATTAATGTTGTCATTTTTCCAGTCTGAGTCAAGTGTAGAAATCATATCTGCTTTTACATTTTTTGTCTTAAATATTTCCACAATCTATATTTATAACCACATCAGATTGTTTTAATTTTTGCTTCAACAGCCAGAATTCTTCAAAAAACTCAAGAGGAGAAAAAAAGTCTACCTTATTTACCCATATTTTTGCTTACCATGTTCTTTAATTGTAATCTTTCAAAAATATTTCTTCTTTTATCATTTTATTTTTGTTTAGGAATCTTCTTTCAGGAATTTTTAAAGGGTAGGTCTGCTGATGATAAATTTTCTTTATTTTTCTTTATCTGATAATGTCTTGATTTCTTCATTCATGAGGAATATTTTTGGTGGGTATAGGATTTGGGGTTGATAATTCTTTTTTTTTTCTTCCAGAACTTGAAAAAATGTTTTCTACTTCCTTCTGGCCTGCATGGTTTCTGATGAAAAGCCTTTTTTATTTAAATTGTTTTTCCTAATAGATAAGGTGTCATTTCTGTCTCTCTGCTTTCAAGATTTTTTTCTTTGTCTTTAGTTTTTACAAGTTTGACGATTATAGGTCTTGGTATGAATTTCTTTGGGCTTCTCCTTTTTGGGGTCCACTTAACTTTTTGAATCTGTACATTTATATCTTATGCCAAATTTGGAATGTTTTTAGCTATTGTTTGTTAGAGTATTTACCAGCTCTGCTGTCTTTCTCCTCTCCCTTCAAGACTCTAATTACAGTAATGTTTAATCTTTTGTTATGATCTCAAAGGTCCCTGAGGCTCTGTTCACTTTTTGTTTAGTCTACCTTCTCTCTGTTATCCATATTGTATCATTTCTATTGATGTATCTTCAAGTTCACTGATTATTTCTTCTGTCTTCTCTATTCTGCTGCTGAGCTCTTCCACTGAGTTTTAAAATTTGGTTCTTCTGTTGTTTTAGTTCTAAAATTCACATTGGTTTTTATTTATATCTCCTACTTCTTTACTTTCTTTTATTTGCTTTTTATTGCTATTTATTATTCCATTTGAAGCAATAATTTTTATAATGGCTGCTTTAAAACCTTTTTTCAGATAATTCTAACATTTCTATTAGCTCAGTGTTGACATCTGTTGATTGTCTGGTGTATTAGACCATTCTCCCACTGCTATGAAGAAATATGCAAGACTGGGTAATTTATAAAGGAAAGAGGTTTACTTCACTCACAGTTCCACATGGCTGGGGAACCCTCAGGAAACTTACAATCATGGCAGAAGGCAAAGGAGAAGCAGGCACCTTCTTCACAGGGTGGCAGGACAGAGTTGAGTGCAAGCAGGGGAAATGCCAGATGCTTATGAAAGGGAAGAGGCTTACTACTTCCTGGTGAGGGTGAAAGTACCAGTTCCCTACTGTCATCCCTTTGACACCACCCTAGTGGGGAATGTGAGGTGGTGGTTTGGGCATCTAGCCTGAGGCTCACAAGAGTGGAAGTCTAAGCTCCCACTGGGCCTTTGCTGGCTTGTGTGGGAATGGACCATAGTTTTTTTCTGTGGTGTCTGGCTTGAACAGAGAGGTTATTGTCCAAGAATTTTTGGTTTTTCTAGCTCTTTGACTAGAGAGAACAGCTTTTTGTTGGGGGTTTTCATCTGCACCTATTGGCATTGCTATGTAGTCAGGTTCTTCAGCTCTAAGTCTGAGATCTATAAGGCAAAAGCAAATACAAAAAAAAAAAAATGCAGGGGACTCACAACATTTTTCTTCACTTCCAATGTCCCTAGCCAGTCTGCCATCTTCTCTCCCACTTTCAGAGTCTTTTTGTGTTTGTTTTATATATAATGTTCAGAAATTTTAGTTGTACTTCAGGGGAGAAATAGATAAAAGTATGTCTATTCGATTTTCCCCAAAGCGGAAGTTCCCTTTTTGTGTTCATTGAAAAGAGATATATTTAGGATACAGAATTAGCTTGACTTGATTTGTTAAATGTGGATCTTAGAAAGTGTTGTCTAATGGCCTTAGAGCAATAATGCCACAATTTTGGGCATCCCTTTATCCCAGGCCCAATATCTCTGTTTCTACGAAATCAGATTTACTTTTAGTTATAATTCTGTGTTATAATTTTAGTTATATTGCCTGTGTTGATTAAGAACATTCCAAGCACTTTGGGAGGCCAAGGCCAGCAGATCACAAGGTCAGGAGATCGAGACCATCCTGGCTAACACGGTGAAACCCTGTCTCTCCTAAAAATACAAAAAAATGAGCCAGGCGTGGTGGCGGGCGCTTGTAGTCCCAGCTACTCGGGAGGCTGAAGCGGGAGAATGGTGTGAACCCAGGAGACGGAGCTTGCAGTGAGCTGAGATCATGCCACTGCACTCCAGCCTGGGCGACAGAGCGAGAGTCCATTTAAAAACAAACAAACAAACAAACAAAAATTCCAGACTACCCCAGGGATTAAAGGTGGTAAGAGAACACTTTGGTGATATTCTAGAGTGAGGTGGAACAATTAACATACTAAGAATGAAGTACTAGGTTCTGGGCTTAAGGTGACATCAGTGGGTATCAGACTTCTTTGAAAACTGGTCTTTTTTTTCCTATGATGATCTTGCTTTATCTTAAACCATCTTAATCAGTAATTTTTTTACATTAATTTTTCTCCCCTCACTTTCTCTTTTTTGGTCATTTCCTTTCTCATAAATAAGGTAAAATTTTCTTCTACCATTGTTTTCTGTTCCTCCTAGCCTATAAAAGTATTCATAAAGTACAATTACAATATTATGTGAAATAAACGTTGTAGAAATCTGATGTGATTTATAATCATAACCAAGCCTATAAAAGTATTCATAAAGTACAATTATAGTATTATGTGAAATAAACGTTGCAGAAATCAGATGTGATTTATAATCATTTGGGGGTTGGAATAGGACTACTAGTTAGTCATGTATAAAAAAGCATTTCATTTTCTGCAATCTGGGAAATAACTATTAAATCTATTCTCTGTGATTTTCTGGCAACTTTTGCAAGAAAGAATTATGGTAGTTTTGAAAGTAAAATTTACTTTCAATATTGAAAAGATTTTTTTAAAAAATACTGTAGTAATACTAGCTTTTAATTATTTATTTAACAACTTTCTATTATCACAGAAATTAAATTTAGGATTATATATTAATTCCAGGAAAAGCAGCTGTTCTAACTATTATCTCCTTTTGGCAGAAGGATATATATAAATTCAGAGAATATAGAAGTATAATTAAAAAAAATTTTTTAACACTAGTTGGTCAGACAATTTAACATCTAAACTCAAAGTTGCTGATATAGTTGCCCCACCCAAAGCTCATGTTGAAATGTAATCCTCAATGTTGGAGGTGGGGCCTGATGGGAGGTGATCGGATCATCGGGGTGAAGTTCTCATGAATGGTTTAGCGCCATTCCTTTGATGCTGTCCTCGTGATAGTGAGAGAGTTCGAGTGAGATCTGGTTGTTGTACAATGTGGTGCAACCCCTCCACCCTGCTCCTGCTTTTGCCATGTGATGTCCTGCTCCCTCTTTGCCTTCTGCCATGATTGGAAGCTTCTTGAGGCCTCCCAGAAGCAGATGCTGCTATGTTTCTTGTATAGCCTGCAGAACTGTGAGCCAATTAAACCTTTCTTTATAAATTATCCAGTCTCAGGTATTTATTTATAGCAATGCAAGAACACCCTAATAAAGTTGCTTTTACAATATTAATAATAAGAACTTTAAGAATTTGGTTGATGTGATGGAAAGAATAGAGAGACAGCACCTCTGTGTTCCTAACCATTTTTTTTCTAGCATCAGTTTATCAACAATCTCAGAGCTCACTCAATTTAGACATAGAATAATTTGTTAAAATTGTTTCCTTAAAATCTTGATTCACATTTCTAACTTTCCTACTGTCTGTTTTAGAACTGGTGCATCTGAAGAATTTTGCTTTTCATTCCAGAAAATAGTATTTGGCTTATTACTGTATTTCATATTATTTCAGCTAAACTTCCCTCTTGATGTATGTTGAGAGCTGATTTACAGACAATATCCAGATGCAAGCAGTTTCTTAACTGCTTTCTGCCAACTTCTCATTAGCATTTAGTTGAAGTGATTCATGACAAGCATGAGTATTACCATTGATTCATTACTAAGATGAATACAATTGGCAATGTAGAGTTCAAGGGAATAGTGGAAGGACTCATGAAAAGACATGGTGTCACTGATGGAAAGTGTGGTATATGGAAGCAGGTAATAAAGGCAGCAATGGCATGGGGTGGTAATTGGTTGTTCTTGATACAAATGGAGAATTTATGATAATGAAATCTAAGTCCTAGTGATAGGCTTGTATGTTCTATGAACAAGGGGTAGGCCAGGGTAGACAGCAAGGAATGAGCAAATGGAAAGAAGATGGAAATTGGTATCAAAAATAGGTAAACTTCTAAATAAAGAGAGGTAACAGGATCACTCGAGTGTCTGTGTTAAGAATGGACTCTAGGCAGAATGACGTGAACCTGGGAGGCAGTGAGCCAAAATTGCACCATTGCACTCCAGCCTGGGCGACAGAGCAAGACTCCATCTGAAAAAAAAAAAAGAATAGACTATAGGGGAAAAGTTGAATGAAGGTTTTGAAGCCAGAGGTGATAGGATATGCTAATACAAAATGTGGAAAATGAGAGAAAAGAGGCAGTTTATTCTATATTTATTGAGTCAATATATGTATCAGACATAGTGCTAAGTATCTTGGCATAGAAAGATAAAAAAGCAGATGATCTATATGTTGGGAGCAGGCCCCCCAAAATCTAGCCATAAACTGGCCCCGAACTGTCCAGAAACAAAATCTCTGCCACACTGTAACATGTTCATAATGGCGCTAATGTCCAAGCTGGAAGGTTGTGGGTTTACGGGAATGAGGGCAAGGAACACCTGGCCCGCCCAGGGCGGAAAACCGCTTAAAGGCGTTCTTAAGCCAGAAACCATAGCATGAGCGATCTGTGCCTTAAGAACATGCTCCTGCTGCAGTTAACTAGCCCAATCTATTCCTTTAATTCGGCCCATCCCTTCGTTTCCCATAAGGGATACTTTTAGTTAATTTAATATCTATAGAAACAATGCTAATGACTGGTTTGCTGTTAATAAATACATGGGTAAATCTCTGTTCAGGGCTCTCAGCTCTGAAGGCTGTGAGACCCCTGATTTCCCACTTCACACCTCTATATTTCTGTGTGTGTGTCTTTAATTCCTCTAGCGCTGCTGGGTTAGGTCTCCCCTACCAAGCTGGTCTTGGCATCTATATATTTTTTTCAAACTTTTTACTGCAACAGTAAAAGCTAAATTTTATCTTGTGCCCTAGTACCCACATGTGTATGTTTGTGTTTGCAAAACTGAAACAAAAGTTTCAAAAAAACTATATTTACCAATGCAATATATAATAATATGAAACATAAGGTAAATTTAAAATATGACCTTAATAGTATTAAAATACAATGTTATTTTGTACTTCATTTTCAAAATGCTGGTCACAATTCATTAAATCAGTTATTCTAAAACATTTTGATCTCAGGAACTCTACTCACTTAAAAATTGCTGAGGACCATAAAAAGCTTTCTTAAAAGTTACTTGCAGCATCGAATCTAAAACTGTCAATAAACTTTAAGTACATTTTCATTAAAATTCATTGGCTTATCTTGTACTGTGAATGTATCTTTTACCCATATACGATTTTGGATTATCATGCATTGGCCGTTTGGAAAATACTGGTTCACTGAGTTATGAAGATTTTCCAAATATTTGCAAACTTCATTATATAATAGTTAAAAATCACATTTGTTAATATCACCATCTATCTCTTCCAAAGAGTCATTAAGTTTTTGGGAAGCTGTCAAGCTCACAGTGTTGGATACGTTTCTAAAGTTCCGGTTTTCCTTGAAACTTAAACTTTCTCGTGGGCAAAAATGATACAAAATAACTTTGTCCATGTTAAAGAAAATCTCAGCCAAATATCCTAGTCTGCATAACAGTAAGTGTCAGTCATTCTTGAAAGTAAAAATGGTGTTCTACCAAAAAAAGTACCTAGTTCAGCTTGCAATTGAATTGAATAATTTCTCTCAAGATAAAATCTTACTTCACTATTCCCATTTTGTCACAAAGAATATTGGAAAGATATATACTAAAGGTTGAGATTAATAATAATACTTTTTCTGTTTTTTTAAGGACATTTTAAAGTGAAAGGCATTTTTCTTTGAAACTGTGAATTACAGCAGTGAAGAATAAATACTTGGTACAGTGTGGTACCACCATTAGTGCAAATGTCAGCATAGTGGAAAAGGCAACTCGCATCTTAATATTATTATGACAATTTTGACTTCATAGATTTCCTGAAAAGTCTTGGGACCCCCAGGGCCCCATAGACCACACTTTGGGAATTACAAGTTGTTTTGACAACCCACTATCAGGTGGAAACCACAGTTTGATACACAGAGCATGCTAAGGCAGGAAATTTTGAAAGATAGAAATTTGGAGAAAATAAAAAAATCCTCGGGCTGGATTTTAATTTTGTCCCCATCCACTAAAATCATGGCTAATAATGGGATGAGATGGAATTAAATTTAAGTTTATTCAATTGCAAAGCCTTTATTCTTTCCAATATGAATGCCATCATTTCATAAGAAAATCATATCAAAAATAATTATTTTTTTCAAAAAATATTTACTTAGTATCTGCTATAAGCAAGATGCTCTTCTAGCATCAGAATCCCTGTGATTCTAGGTACAATAGATAGAGTCTTCTTTTAGTGCAGTGGTAAGAAATCTTTTTAAAAGTAGATAAAACGAGCAAAATAATACTTTAGATAGTACTAAATCCTATAATAGAAATATAGAAATGTTAGAGTGGTACTACCAAGGCCTCATACTTTAAAGGGCTCCACTGTTACCCTGCTGTCTCACCCCTGCTTACAAAGCCTCCCTGGGGCCAAGAGGCACAGGGTGAACACTCCCAGGACTGTCTGGCAAAGCAGGGAGGCTGGACTGAGCTGTACATAGATACTAGTGCAAGGCTTTTCTTTGGGATGAAGTGGGATGGGAAGGAAGGTGGGCATGGGGCAGGAGGCTGAATTTGTATTTTTGCCTTTTCCTGCAAATGTTAAGAGTAGGCCTCCAGGTAGGTGGATTGCTTGAGTCCAACAGTTCGAGACCAACCTGGGCAACATAGTGAAACCTTGTCTCTACAAAAAATACAAAAATTATCCTGGTGTGGTGGCAGGTGTCTGTAATCTCAGCTACTCAGGAAGCTGAGGTGGTAGGATCCCTTGAGGCTGGGAGGCACAGGTTGCAGTGAGGTGAGATCATGCCACTGCACTCCAGCCTGGGCAACAGAGTGAGAGCTTTTCACAAAAAAAAAAAAAAAAAAAAAAAAGTAGGCCTGAGTAAAGGGATAGACCGGGTGCTAAGTTTAGGCCTATTTACAATGGAGAAAAACAGTAAGTTATAGTCAAACATAGACTAGGCACTTTTGTAGACATCTCACCTCACATCACATCAAACACCAAAAATATACCACAGTAAATGTTAATTTTTGCTATAAAAATTTTGGGACATCTTTGTAGTTTTGTTCTTGCTAGAATTTGGCCATGAGAAACTCTCATTTAATTTATGATTTGATTTTTTTTGGCAATTTTCATGCGCGTCCGTGTGAAGAGACGACCAAACAGGCTTTGTGTGAGCAACATGGCTGTTTATTTCACCTGGGTGCAGGCGGGCTGAGTCCGAAAAGAGAGTCAGCGAAGGGAGATAGGGGTGGGGCCGTTTTATAGGATTTGGGAAGGTAATGGAAAATTATAGTCAAAGGGGGTTTTTCTCTGGTGGGCAGGGGTGGGGGTCACAAGGTGCTCAGTGGGGGAGCTTCTGAGCCAGGAGAAGGAAATTCACAGGGTTAATCACTCAGTTAAGGTGGGGCAGGAACAAATCACAGTGGTGGAATGTCATCAGTTAAGGTGGGGCAGGGCCTTTTCACTTCTTTTGTGATTCTTCAGTTACTTCAGGCCATCTGGGCGTATACGTGCAAGTCACAGGGGATGCGATGGCTTGGCTTGGGCTCAGAGACCTGACATTCCTGCCTTCTTATATTAATAAGAAAAATAAAACAAAATAGTGTTGAAGTGTTGGGGCAGCGAAAATTTTTGGGGGTGGTATGGAGAGAGAATGGGCGATGTTTCTCCGGGCTGCTTCAAGCCGGATTGGGGCAGCGTGGGAACCTAGAGTGGGAGAGATTAAGCTGAAGGAAGATTTTGTGGTAAGGGATGATATTGTGGGGATGTTAGAAGAAACATTTGTCGTATAGAATGATTGGTGATGGCCTGGATACGGTTTTGTATGAATTGAAAAACTAAATGGAATAAGAGAAGGAGAAAAACAGGTATAAAAGGTCTAAGAATTGGGAGGACCTAGGACATCTGATTAGAGAGTGCCTAAGGAGATTCAGCATAGTCCTGCCAGCAAAGATTATTTATTTACTTCAAGAGTTAAGAGTGGCAGTTTGGGGACAGCACCAGGAGATATCAGCTGTGATGGCTTGGAGAAACAGTGTAAACTGGCAGTGTAAACAAGAGCAGGGCATGTATGAGTAGTTGAGAATGGTGAATAGGAGTATGACTAGACAGAAGATAGTAGGGATGACAAGTTTTTTGGGGCACAGTCTAAGTTGGTCTGGTGTCGAATGAGACTGGGGCCTAATAAAAAGGAGCGTCTATACAGGAGCTTAAATGGGCTCTACCCTGTAGCATTCCGAGGACAGGCCTGAATTCTGAGAAGGGAAAGTGGTAAAAGTATTGTCCAGTCCTTTTTAAGTTGGTGGCTGAGCTTGGTGAGGTGTGTTTTTAAAAGACCTTTAGTCCATTCTACTTTTCTTGAAGACGGAGGACCGTAGGGATATAAAGGTTTCACTGAATACTAAGAGCCTGAAAAACTGCTTGGCTGATTTGACTAATAAAGGCTGGTCTGTTATCAGACTGTATAGAGGTGGGAAGGCTAAACTGAGGAATTATGTCTGAGAGGAGGGAAGAAATGACTGTGGTGGCCTTCTCAGACCCTGTAGGAAAGGCCTTTACTTATTCAGTGAAAGTGTCTATTTAGACTAAGAGGTATTTTAGTTTCCTGACTCAGGACATGTTGAGTAAAGCTAATTTGCCAGTCCTGGGTGGGAGCAAATCCTCGAGCTTGAAGTGTAGGGAAGGGAGGGGGCCTGAATAATCCCTGAGGAGTAGTAGAATAGCAGATGGAACACTGAGAAGTTATTTCCTTGAGGATAGATTTCCACAATGGAAAGGAAATGAGAGGTTCTAAGAGGTGGGCTAGTGGCTTGTACTATAGCATAGCCTGCCTTTGCTGGTGTGTGGCGATTAGGCCTGGTGGAACTGCCATCAATAAATCAAGCGTGATCAGGGCGAGGAACAGGAAAGAAGGAAATATGGGGAAATGGGATGAATATCAGGTGGATCAGAGAGATACAGTCGTGGGGGTCAGGTGTGGTATCAGGAATAATGTGAGAGGCCAGATTGAAGTCCGGGCCAGGAAGAATGGTAATTGTGGGACTTAAAGAGTGAGTACAGCTGAAGGAGCCGGGGAGCAGAAAGTATATGCGTCAGGTATGAGGAAGAAAATAGATTTTGGAAGTTATGAGAAATGTAGAGAGTGAGTTGAGCATAGTTTGTGATTTTTAGGGCCTCTAACAGTATTAAAGCAGCGGCAGCCGCTGCACGCAGACGTGAGGGCTAGGCTAAAACAGTAAGGTCAAGTTGTTTGGACAGAAAGGCTACAGGGTGCGGTCCTGGCTCTTGTGTAAGAATTCTGACCGCGCTAACCATGCCTAGGAAGGAAAAGAGTTGTTGTTTTGTAGAAGGTGCTTGGGTTTGAGAGATCAGTTGGACACGATAGGCAGGGAGAGCACGTGTGTTTTTATGAGAATTATGCCGAGATAGGTAACAGATGAGGAAGAAATTTGGGCTTGATTGAAGTAATGGGGGCTGTCTGTGAAGCTTTGCGGCAGTACAGCCCAGGTAATTTGCTGAGCCTAATGGGTGTCAGGGTCAGTCTAAGTGAAGGCAAAGAGAGGCTGGGATTGAGGGTGCAAAGGAATAGTAAAGAAAGCATGTTTGAGATCCAGAACAGAATAATGGGTAGTAGAGGGAGGTATTGAGGATAGGAGAGTATATGGGTTTGGCACCACGGGGTGGATAGGCAAAACAATTTGGTTGATAAGGCGCAGATTCTGAACTAACTTGTAAGGCTTGTCTGGTTTTAGGACAGGTAAAATGGGGGAATGGTAAGGAGAGTTTATAGGTTTTAGAAGTCCATGCTGTAGCAGGCGAGTGATAACAGGCTTTAATCCTTTTAAAGCATGCTGTGGGATGGGATGTTGGCATTGAGTGGGGTAAGGGTGATTAGGTTTTAATGAGATGGTAAGGGGTGTGTGATCGGTCACCAAGGAGGGAGTAGAGGTATCTTATACTTGTGGGTTAAGGTGGAGGATACGAGAGGAGGATGCAAAGGAGGCTTTGGATTGGGAAGAAGGGAGGCAATGAGATGAGGCTATAGTCCAGGAATAGTCAGGGAAGCAGATAATTTGGTTAAAATATCTCGGCCTAATAAGGGAACTGGGCAGATGGGGATAACTAAAAAGAAATGCTTAAAAGAGTATTGTCTAAGTTGGCACCAGAGTTGGGGAGTTTTAAGAGGTTTAGAAGCCTGGCCGTCAATACCCACAACAGTTATGGAAGCAACGGTAACAGGCCCTTGAAAAGAAGGTAATGTGGAGTGGGTAGCCTCCGTATTGATTAAGAAGGGGACAGGCTTACCTTCCACTGTGAGAGTTACCCGAAGCTCGGCGTCTGTGATGGTCTAGGGGGCTTCCGAGGCGATCGGGCAGTGTCAAGTCTTCAGCCGCTAAGCCGAGAAGATCTGGGAAGGAGTCAGTCAGAGAGCCTTGGGCCAGAGTTCCAGGGGCTCTGGAAGTGGCTGCCAGGTGAGTTGAACAGTCCGATTTTCAGTGGGGTCCCACACAGATGGGATGTGGCTTAGGAGGAATCCCGGGCTGCGGGCATTCCTTGGCCCAGTGGCCAGATTTCCGGCACATGTAGCAAGCTCCTGTGGGAGGAGGTTCTGGAGGAACGCCTGGCCGCTGCCGTTCAGGCATTTGGAAGTTCTTGTGTGCTGGAGATGTGGCTGGGGTTTGTCTCACAGTGGAGGCAAGGAATTGCAACTTTTTTCTATTATTGTACACCTTGAAGGCGAGGTTAATTAAATCCTGTTGTGGGGTTTGAGGGCCAGAATTTAATTTTTGGAGTTTTATTTAATGTCGGGAGCAGATTGGGTAATAAAATGTATATTGAGAATAAGACGGCCTTTTGACCTTTTAGGGTCTAGGGCTGTAAAGTGTCTCAGGGTTGCTGCCAAACAAGTCATGAACTGGGCTGGATTTTTATATTTCATGAAAAAAAGCCTAAACGCTATCCGATTTGGGATAAAGAAAAAGGAGCATTAACCTTGACTATGCCTTTAGCTCCAGCCACCTTTTTAAGAGTAAATTGCTGGGCGGGAGGGGGAGGGCTAGTCACGGAACGAAACTGTAAGCCGGACCAGGTGTGAGGAGGGGAGGTGATAAAAAGATTATAGGGTGGAGGAGCAGAGGCTGAGGAAGAATTGGGACCTAGCTCGGCCTGGCGAGGAGGGGAGAGGTCAGATGGGTCTGTAGAAAAGGAAGATTAGAAAGACTCAGCGATGCTTGGGGTTGGGACTGAGGGGACAGGCGGGAGGGAAAGAAGGAAGATTTGGGATGAGTTGCACTGGGCACAGAGACTAGGAAGGGACTGATGTGTAAAAGAATGCCTGGACGTCAGGCACCTCAGACCATTTGCCCATTTTACGACAAGAATTATTTAGATCTTGTAGGATGGAAAAATTGAAAGTGCCATTTTCTGGCTATTTGGAACTACTGTCGAGTTTGTATTGGGGTCAAGTGGCATTGCAGAAGAAAATAAGGCATTTAGGTTTTAGGTCAGGTTGTGTCCGGAATTGGTGGGTTCTTGGTCTCATTGACTTCAAGAATGAAGCCGCGGACCCTCACGGTAAGTGTTACAGCTCTTAAGGTGGCGCATCTGGAGTTTGTTCCTTCTGATGTTTGGATGTGTTCGGAGTTTCTTCCTTTTGGTGGGTTCTTGGTCTCGCTGGCTCAGGAGTGAAGCTGCAGACCTTCGCGGTGAGTGTTACAGTTCTTAAGGCGGGGCGTCTGGAGTTGTTCGTTCTTCCCAGTGGGCTCGTGGTCTCGCTGACTTCAGGAGTGAAGCTGCAGACTTTCGCGGTGAGTGTTACAGCTCAAAAAAGCAGTGTGGACCCAAAGAGTGAGCAGCAGCAAGATTTATTGCAAAGAGCGAAAGAACAAAGCTTCCACAGTGTGGAAGGGGACCCGAGCGGGTTGCCAATGCTGGCTCGGGCAGCCTGCTTTTATTCTTTTATCTGGCCCCACCCAAATCCTGCTGATTGGTAGAGCTGAGTGGCCTGTTTTGACAGGGTGTTGATTGGTGTGTTTACAATCCCTGAGCTAGATACGAAGGTTCTCCACGTCCCGGTCAGATTAGTTAGATACAGAGTTTTGACATACAGGTTCTCCAAGGCCCCACCAGAGCAGCTAGATACAGAGTGTCCATTGGTGCACTCACAAACCTTGAGCTAAACACAGGGTGCTGATTGGTGTGTTTACAAACTTTGAGCTAGATACAGAGTGCCGATTGGTGTATTTACAATCCCTGAGCTAGTCATAAAGGTTCTCCAAGGTCCCACCAGAGTAGCTAGATAGAGAGTGTGGATTGGTGCACTCACAGACCCAGAGCTAGACACAGGGTGCTGACTGGTGTGTTTACAAACCTTGAGCTAGATACAGAGTGCCGATTGGTGTGTTTACAATCCCTGAGCTAGACATAAAGACTCTCCACATCCCCACCAGACTCAGGAGCCCAGCTGGCTTCACCCAGTGGATCCCGCACTAGGGCTGCAGGTGGAGCTGCCTGCCAGTCCTGCGCCATGCACTCGCACTCCTCAGCCCTTGGGCGGTTGATGGGACTGGGCACCGTGGAGCAGGGGGCAGCGCTCACTGGGGAGGCTCGGGCTGCACAGGAACCCACGGAGGCAGGGGAAGGCTCAGGCATGGCGGGCTGCAGGTCCCGAGGCCTGCCCCGTGGGAAGGCAGCTAAGGCTCGGTGAGAAATCGAGCTCAGCACTGGTGGGCTGGCACTGCTGGGGGACCCAGTACACCCTCCGCAGCTGCTGGCCCGGGTGCTAAGTCCCTCATTGCCCGGGGCCAGCAGGGCTGGCCGACTGCTCCGAGTGTGGGGCCTGCCAAGCCCACGCCCACCCGGAACTCCAGCTGGCCCGCAAGCGCCGTATGCAGCCCCGGTTCCTGCTCGCGCCTCTCCCTCCACACCTCCCTGCAAGCTGAGAGAGTGGGCTCCAGCCTTGGCCAGCCCAGAAAGGGGCTCCCACAGTGCAGTGGTGGGCTGAAGGGCTCCTCAAATGCCACCAAAGTGGGAGCCCAGGCAGAGGAGGTGCCAAGAGCAAGCGAGGGCTCTGAGGACTGCCAGCACGCTGTCACCTCTCAAGGTGAGAGTTGAAGAGGTTTTAAGTTCTTAAGAATATAGGCTAAGGGAGAAGAAGGAGGAATGGAAGGTGGAAGCTTGCCCATAGTGAAGGAGGCAAGCCCAGAGAAAAGAGTAGAGACACGGAGAAGGGGTTGGGGGTTCTTGCCCTCCAGAAAAGCAGAGAAAGGGTTGGGGCATGGAAATAAGGAATTGGGGCACAGAGATAAGAGGTTGGGGTGCAGAAATAAGGGATTGGGGCACAGAGATAAGAGGTCGGGGTGCAGAAATAAGGGATTGGGGGTTCTTGCCCCCTAGAAAAGAGGGACTTGCCACTAAGTGTGAAGGAGAAGGGGTTGAGGGGTACTTGCCCCTCCCCCAGAAAAGCGGGACTTGCCGCTAAGGGTGAAGGAGAAGGGGTTGAGGGGTACTTGCCCCTCCCCCAGAAAAGCAGAGAAGGGGTAGAGACAAGGAGAGAAGGGGTTGAGGTACTTGCCCCTTCCCCAGAAAAGCGGGACTTGCCGCTAAGGGTGAAGGACCAAGGCAGGTGTCCCTGCGTGGTCTGACACCTTTGCAACGTGGGTGAATAATCAGAGAGGTGTCCCTGCAATGATTAAACACCAAGGGAAGGCTGCCTTCCCAGTCCGTGACTGGCGCCGGAGTTTTGGGTCCACGGAGAAAACGTGTCTCCTTTGTCTCTACCAGAAAATGAAAGGAATTGAAATTAAGAGAAGGGAGAGATTGAAGTGTGGCACCAAGATTGAAAGGAGAAAGAAGTTGAGGGATAGTGAGGGAGGTTGGAGAAGAGAGTAAACAGAGGCCACTTACTGGATTTGAAATTGTTGAGATGTTTCTTGGGCTGGTCAGTCTGAGGACCTGAGGTTGTAGGTGGATCTTTCTCATGGAGCAAAGAGCAGGAGGACAGGGGATTGATCTCCCAAGGGAGGTCCCCCAATCCGAGTCACGGCACCAAATTTCATGCGCGTCCATGTGAAGAGACGACCAAACAGGCTTTGTGTGAGCAACATGGCTGTTTATTTCACCTGGGTGCAGGCAGGCTGAGTCCGAAAAGAGAGTCAGTGAAGGGAGATAGGGGTGGGGCCGTTTTATAGGATTTGGGAAGGTAATGGAAAATTATAGTCAAAGGGGGTTTTTCTCTGGTGGGCAGGGGTGGGGGTCACAAGGTGCTCAGTGGGGGAGCTTCTGAGCCAGGAGAAGGAAATTCACAGGGTTAATCACTCAGTTAAGGTGGGGCAGGAACAAATCACAGTGGTGGAATGTCATCAGTTAAGGCGGGGCAGGGCCTTTTCACTTCTTTTGTGATTCTTCAGTTACTTCAGGCCATCTGGGCGTATAGGTGCAAGTCACAGGGGATGTGATGGCTTGGCTTGGGCTCAGAGGCCTGACAGCAATTATTTTGTATACTTGGAAATTCTTCAGAAAAGGAAAAATATAACCAACAAATTATTTGGAAACAATGCAATTTGTTCATTTTTTTAAATTAAAAATATGACCAGGAATGGTGGCTTGTGCCTGTAATCCCAGCACTTTGGGAGGCTGAGGTGGGCAGATCACTTGAGGTCAGGAGTTCGAGACCAGCCTGGTCAACATAGCGAAACCACACGTCTACTAAAAATAATAAAATAAAATAAAATAAATAGCTGGGGCATGGTGGGCCATGCCTGTAATCCCAGCTACTCAGGAGGCTAAGGCATGAGAATTGCTGGAACCCAGGAGGTCGAGGCTGCAGTGAGCTGAGATCACACCAATGCACTCTAGGGAGACAGAATGAGACTCTGCCTCAAAAAAATATATTAAAAATATTTAAAACTGACAGAACATACTTAATAATATTTAATTATATTATATCAAAATATTTATTATTTGTGAATCTGAGGCTTGTTTAAATTTTGCAATAATATTGTTTTCAGATCTCATATATTTTCCTAGGTCCTTTGAAAAGTTTATATTATGTACAATGGGCTCAATTCTTACAGTATAATTTGATATTCTTGGGCCTAGACTTATACTTTGTTGTCCAGTGGAGTATCCACTAGCCACATACAGCTATTTAAATTTAAATTAATGAAAATTAAAAATTCAGTTCCCCAGATGCAATAGCCACATTTCAAGTGTCCAGTGCCTACCATATTGAAGAGCACAAATATGAGACATCTGCATCATTGAGAAAGTTTTACTGGACATCATTGATCTAACCCAATCTTAGCTGTGGAATTACAAACATTGATGTTATCTTCACGCTACAAATTGAGTTAGGTATGACATAGTGGGAGAAAGTTCTCTCAGTGAGATTGTAAAGGAAAAGGGTATGAAGAAGACAGATAGTGTTTGCAGATTGCTTTGGAGAGAGATCTCCAAACCACGTACAAATAAATAACTGGGAACTGACTGCAGAATGAAAAGAAAGGCTGCAGGAAAATGTGAACAAATAAGAAGGTAGAAAAGCTGATAGGGATAACTAAAAAAAAATTGGAAACCTTGAAAATGAGGACTCGTGGCTCATCAGAAAATGAGAGACTATTAAGTCAAATATGAGAAAATCTGATTCAGGTATTCCTCTGCGCATTGAGAGGAAGAGGCAGACCTCCGAGGTAATACAGATGAAATAACAACCAAATATGGTAACTGATTAAATGTGATAAGGAAACAAAAGCTCCTAGAAGACAGAAGAGAAAGGAGAGGTAATTCTGCAGAGCTAGTGCAATTGAGAGGGGTCCTTTTTGTGACTGGTGAAAACTTAAGAGGAAACAGACACTTGAGTGTTCATGCTTTTCAACTGAGAGGGTGGCTTAGAGTATGTCACCATCAGAAAACAGGAAGAAATGTGGGATTTGGTGCAGCCGGGGGTCAGTGAGTAAATCATTCACCGAAAAAGAAAGCAAAAGACCTGAAACAGATGGATTTTCTCAAGGAAGGAAGAAAATCAACAGAATCCTTGTTTGAAGGGACCCTCTGCTCAGTGAGAGGAAAGAAAAGCAATGTTAAGAGGAATGCAAAAGAAAGTGTCAGTAAGGTGTGAAATGCCCAGAAGACAGACACTTCTGAAAGTTAGTAGGAAGATCTTAGGGGAAAGGAAAAACACAGAGAACCATGGGTAGAAAAAAACTTTGAGATAAAAATAGAAAATGAGTAGATCTGTAACTTTAACTACCTCACTGAAAACTTTTCTCTTAGTGCTTGAATATGAAGGCAAGAAATACCTTGGCCCTAAAATATGGTGAACCAGATAGAAATTCTGGAATTGGGACTTTTCATATAAGAAAGATATGCACACAAATTTGTGAGGTGACATCAGAGGGTATATGGTTCAATGATTAAGCCAGGGTTTAAAAGAGCTGAGGCATACATTTAGTTATTCAGTAAGAACAACTAAAACTTGTAAAGCACTTATTGTTTCCAGAGGTCTTTTCCTTGAGCATATTATCTTATTTAAGCTCTAACATGCAGCCTGTGAAGAAGGCAGTACTCTCACTCCCATTTCACAGATGGTCAATGAATGAACTAAGAAGATTATTATTTGTCTGGGTATAACAGGAAGCAACAGACAACAAGCTAAATGTCAGCTTTATCTTCTGCAGTCCTTTCAGTCCTTCTTTCTGAAACATGAAAGATTCCCTTGTCCCCCTCGCAGGGTATGTGATGGGGATGTGGCTCGCTTCTTCCCTCCCCGACCGCTCAAACCTCTAGGGGAACATACAGGCAGGTAGGGTGTGGGGCTCCGACCCCACAGCAGTGTGTAGGGGTGAATGTTTACGGCTTCTGAAGCCCCAGGGGGCGTGTGTTGCAGGATGCTCTCTTAGTTTGCCAATCTATAGGCAGCTTGTGTTAACCGGCTCAATTAGACCCCCCTCCTTATCACAAGGACAGAAGGATTTCTGATCCTGGGGTTCTTGCCTTAGTGTACGGGTAGAATCGGATCACTTGTGGGCTTGGAGAATGAGTGTAAAGTTTTATTGAGTGGAAGTAGCTCTTAGCCAATGGGGGATCCACAAGGGAGATGGTCTTCCTGTGGAGTTGGGCCCCAGCTCTCCTCTGACTGCCCTGGCCAAACTCTGCCTCATCCCACTGGTGGATGGCCTGACTGCATGCTGGTGCTGACAAGTGTGTTCTTCTGGATGCCCACTCTAGACAACCTGCCTCTTGAATCTTCTTCTGCCAATGTGCTGCTCTTGACGTCTGGCCTCCTGTGTGTCTGCCTGCTAGCGTCTCGGGGGGCGTTTAGGGGCACAGGATGGGGGTGTGGCAGGCCAGGATGGTCTTGGGAAATGCAACATTTGGGCGCGAAGGCAGGAGTGCCCATCCTTACTTAGGTCCATGGGGGTGGAGCCCTACCCAGGGACCATGCCCTCCTCTAGCCAGCACTTCCCTTCCCCACTTCCGTATTATTTAAAGGGACCACGCTCTTCCCTTCCCAGCACTCCCATATTATTTCCACAGGCTTTAGGCTGTATTTAGGGACTGTGTAACATGTTTTTCTTACAACAACAAGCTTAAACCTGTCTGGTTTTTTTGGACCCACCAGCAATTTTGCAGACTAGAATCTGTTTGCCCTAGAACTATGTAATATTCTAAAAGTTCAGCCTTGGCCTGAAAAAATAGAAAAAGAGTTTCCAAGGTACTAGCCTCTTTAGGTTTCTGTGTCACAAAATTGGTTTATATTTTGGCTTAAACCTATTGGAGGTACCTTATGCCAGGGTAGATTTTGTGTCTTTCTAATGTCACCAAGGCTGTTTTGTCATAGAAGGATATGAGGAGTTCCAGCCCCTACTGCTAGCAACAAGGTTCGGGGTATTAAAGTAAAATTTTAGTAGATGAAGCTGTACCTTACTAGTAACTCCCACAAAAAACAAAAAGTGTCGAGAGAAGTATATTACTTTAAGAGTAAAACAGAGCAGCAATTCTTATGTAAGAGCTTTAATCAAGAGTAGTTTTCTCATTGGAGACATGGATTAGCGACTTTTTAAAATTTCTGTTTCTGCTGTGTGCATTAGAGAATGTAAGACGGGAGTCAGAGGCAATAAGTCTGATTTAAGATTCTAAAAAGATAAACTAAGGGAAACCCTTTACAAACAATTTAAAGAAGATGGACAGCATCCTCATGTCAGTTTTCTGGTTAAAGGTTTCCTGTGGCTCTTACCTCCCCTGGAAAGTCTGAATTGCTTAACTTGCAAAGGGATGTTCCTCATCGGCTGCCCCCAGCTTACCTTTCCAGTCTCATCACCTGCCAGTTTTAACATGTACTCTCCATTTCAACCATGCGGAAAGCTCCAAATGCACAATTGTGTTTGATACCTCTGTGTGCAATACGCAGTTTGCATTGTCTGGAGCCTTCTTCCTATATTCTGTTTGGTAGACTCTTACTCATTCTTCAAGATCCACATCTAATTTCACCTCCTTGTGAACCTTCTGGACCTCCCTGAGGCTGAAGCTGAGAATCCTTTTTTTTTTTTTTTTGAGACGGAGTCTGGCTCTGTCCCCCAGGTTGGAGTCCAGTGGCGCCATCTCGGCTCACTGCAAGCTCCGCCTCCCGGGTTCACGCCATTCTCCTTCCTCAGCCTCCCGAGTAGCTGGGACTACAGGCGCCTGCTACCACGCCCAGCTATTTTTTTTGTATTTTTAGTAGAGACGGGGTTTCACAGTGTTAGCCAGGATGGTCTCGATCTCCTGACCTCGTGATCCACCCGCCTCGGCCTCCCAAAGTGCTGGGATTACAGGCATGAGCCACCGCGCCTGGCCGAGGTTGAGAATCTTAGTCAATTAGGGTTGCTGTAATAAAATATCGTAGATTGGGTGGTTTATAAACAACAGAAATTTACTCCTCCCAGTTCTAGAGACCAGAAGTCTGAAATCAGTGTGCCCACATAGTCAGGGTCTGCTGAGGGCCCTGTTCCAGGCTGCAGACTGACTTCTCCTTGGTTCCTCAGGCAGAAAGAGAGCAAGAGAGTACTCTGGAGTCCCTTTTAGAAAGGCACAAATCCCATTGTTTTAGGGCTGTACCTTCATGATCTAAATTATCTCCCACCCCACCTCTTAATATCGTTGCACTAGGGGTTAGGATATCAACATGTGAAGTTTGGGGAGACACAAACATTCAGTTCATAGCACTGAGCCACTTTCCACCGGGCTTGCAGAGAACTTCCTAGAAACTCCTACCATAATGGGTATTACTCCATTCATTGTTTATGCATTTTCTCTGCTTCTAGTTTTTAAGCTCATTGAGGTAAAGGATCCTGCCTCAATAATCTCTGTGGGTGGGTGACAGCCTCCAGATATTTTAATACCAAGCATCATTTAATCTATAAACCTACTGCCTGCTGAAGAAAGAAATGACTATATGATTGGTGTGAGGTGAATTGGAAAAGGGCTGAGGTATGAGGACAGGCCTAAGGATGAGTAAGCAAACTAGCAAAGTTTGTTTATGTCTCCAAAGAATTTGCTCTAGTTTTTCCATTTTTCAAATAGTTGATGTACAGTTGACTTCAACAGTTCAACGAGAGTGAGCTAGTTTTTGGTGTCTCATTCTCTGATAAGGCATACACCTTATGTTTTGGATCACCTGTGGTGGTGGAATCATTCAGTTACTTCAGTGGAAGAATATGTGTGGAAGAACAATAAAGCCGCTGGATATCATTTACTTTAAAGTAGTAGCAAGCATTATAGCAAGCCAAGGGGATTAGATTAATTGGGAAAAATATACATAATTTATAATCTTAGAAATGAATGCCAAATGCTTTTAATCTGATTAGACTCTTTTCTTCTAGTGCAGTTTAGATATGCTCTAAATTTGTGATTCCTAAAGGGGAGTTTAATAAAACACAGGTTCTGTAGAATATTAGTAAGAATTATGTTTAAAAAGAATTTCATTGTCAACTTTGGGAAAAATGTGGTTAAAAAGAATTAAGGTGGCTTTTCTAGTATTGTTTTTCCTACCCGAATGTACGTTATAAATCTCCAAGAGATGTATGTACATGGTATAAAGCAGTTTAAATTTTCTTGACAAGAGCCTCTTCTCTCTCTATTGTAATGTATCTAGGGGTGCTATTGTTTAACAAAACACTGAGAAATGCTGTTCTAAATTAGGAGCTTTGTAAGAACTTAGTTGCCTACAAGTACACTACATATTATACCAGTTGTAACATTTTCTGTCAAGCAAATGTGTATAAGGACTAAGTATGCAGCCTCTAGCTTCTCATTTTTGCTAGCCAGGCTATGAATGAATATTCTTCAAAGATGTTTTTTAAAAATCTCTCTGCTATCTTTTTTTTTTTTTAAAAAAAAAAACACTGTGGAATATCAGCTAGCCTGAATCTTTGTTTATTTTTCTTTTTTTATTTTAAATCAGGGGACGACAGAAGAGTAAGTGCCTCTATAATTTATATCCAGGTGAGTGCCAATATAAGAGACAGCTTCCCAGGATGTGATGGGAAAAGAGAGAGAGACAGAGAGAGAAAGAGAGAGAGACCATTTGCCTAAGGGAGCCGTGAACAGCTGTAAGGATTTTTTTTTTTTTTTTTTTTTTTTTTTTTTTGAGATGGAGTCTCACTCTGTCACCAGGCTGGAGTGCAGTGATACAATCTCGGCTCACTGCAACCCCTGCCTCCTGGGTTCAAGCGATTCCCCTGCCTCAGTCCCTTGAGTAGCTGGGACTATAGGCACACGCCACCATGCCCAGCTAATTTTTGTATTTTTAGTAGAGACAGGGTTTCATCGTGTTGGCCAGGATGATCTTGATCTCTTGACCTCGTGATCCGCCCGCCGCAGCGTCCCAAAGTGCTGGGATTACAGGTGTGAGCCACCACACACCACACCTGGCTAGATTTTTTTTTTTTTTTTTTTTTTAAGATTCAAGAGGTACTTGTGCAGGTTTTTTACATGGGTAAAGTGCATGCTGCTGAGTTTGGGGCTTCTATTGAGCCCCAAATAGTGAACATAGTACCCAGTAGGTAGTTTTTCCACTTTTGTCCCTCTCCCTCCTTCCGCCCTTTTGGAGTCCCCAGTGTCTATTGTTTCCATCTTTATGTCCAAGACAAGGATGTCCACTTTCACCACTCCTATTTAACATAGTACTGGAAATCCCAGCCAGAGCAACCAAGCAAGAGAAACAAATAAAAGGCATCCGAATAGGAAAAGAGAATGTCAAATTACCTCTGTTTGCCAATGATATGCTAAAGAAATACTAAGTACACTTCAAGAAGGTGGAAATGGCTGACTCCCTCAGGCTACTGCTCAAAAGATTTGAATAGCACAGATATAAAAGTATTAAATGTTGTAAGTTAGTGATAGAGTAAGAGAGAAAGACAGAAAGATAATTGTCTAGATGAAAAGGCAAATGATCAATCTATTTCCATGGGTTAATTTTGTTTTGTTCTAGTGTGGAAAAATTTTCCTGTCGTAAGCTGGACACTCACACCTGTATCTACCACTTTCACAATAAACAAAACAGTGTGAGGATGAGAATGGAGAGAAAGAGGAAGTGTTTTTGAACTATAAATCACTACAGGCTTGGTATAAATTCCAAACCTTTCAAGAAGTGAACTTTATTTTGAGCAATGATTACAAGATGAGATGCCAGGGTATTTCGCAATGTAAGTAATGTATTTGACCAACAAAACAATACAAAACAAAGGCAACCAAGTTAAGAACGAATTACAGAATAATGCTTGACTCACTTGAAAACTGTCCCTTATGAAATTTCATTTGACAATTTGTACTTTTCTGGTTTTGGCTGTTTGGGGGTCTTTTTCCTTCCTTGAAATAACTTGACAGGAAATGATTATTTCCACTGAGTCAAAGAGGGCATATTTACATAGTTCCTCATGATGTGATCAGGAAATCCTGTGTAGAAAAAAGTCGCTGAAAAAAAAAGGGAAAAGTGTAGCCTGCTTATGTTTTCTTAAACTCCTCCTGCCCCACCCTGGAGCCATTTAAGATACAATCTCACTTTTCTTTCTTTTTTTTTCTTTTTTTTCTTTTTTCTTTCTTTCTTTCTTGCTTGCTTGCTTGCTTTCTTTCTTTCTCTCTCTTTCTTTCTCTTTCTCCTTCCTTCCTTTTTCTTTTTTCTCTCTTTCTTTGCTTTTCTTATCTTTTTCTTTCTTTCACATAGATTTCAGCACAAAGGCTCATACATTTGGGCTTGCTTTTTTCTTCTCAACGAAAGCCTTAGAAGGTAGAGATTTCAGATGCATTTTTCTCTCTTTCCTGAGTCTGTCCAGTAACAACAGGGATAGTTGAAAAATCTTAGGAAAAGGTTCTTGCTTTGCAGGTTTCTAATCTCATTCCTGACAAGCCGTCTAGTCTCCTGCTGACGTCTAGGAGATGCACATCAAAGGCAGAAATGATCTAGGCTCTGTGATCTCTCTTCTGAATGAGAGTGATGCTGCCAGCCAGGAGGGGGCTGTCACTTCAGACTCTCCAGCAAACTTGAGCAGCTGCAGCTGTCGCCTGAGGGAAAACCAGATGCATCAGTATTTTGAATGTGCTTTCAGATTTGCTAGGAATGCATAGACATGTTGCAATTGCTTTGCAGGACTCTGCTATTTGAAATCTGTCACAAAGTCAATTCCAATTTGGATACTAATATGATTACTGTTTGAGTGTTAGATGCCATGTACTAAATTTTACGTGAGGGTTCATCTATTTTTACCTACAAGTTCTATGAACCCCATGTGATAAATAGGGAACCTACCCAGGATGTCTAAGAAACATAGTGAGTCAGTTCTGTAAATGGTAATCTGGCAGCACATCTATTCTCCAATAACTTTCAACCATTTATGTTCACCCTATAACCTATTCCATCCTTGGGCAGGATAAGGGCCATTTATTGTCACCTGGGAATAAAGAATTAGCAAGTTAATCAATTGCTCTAGTTCAAATTTGTGTGGAAGTATTATTATTGTAGTTCAGGGATAGAAAATGATGCCTTTTTATATTATATGAATTTGTCTATATTGGCTACTGGGTATTCAAATGTGACTCACTCTCAAGTTGCTTTTCTTTGTAAAGAAGGCCAGCCAGTTTTGCATTTCCCAAATCTGGTTCTCTCCTTCTATAGCTATTTCCCAAGTTTGCTGTTTTTGTCACTTAGAAAGTTTGAACATGATAACTTAAGATTATATCACAGAGTTCAAAGTTTTAAAGACCATAATTCTTCCTTGTTCTTTTGACTGAGGATCTTGACCTTTAACCTAAGAGATATTTAAGATGTTTGAAAGTTAGTTGAATTCTTTGATCAACTAGTAGGGTTTGCATTAATCAAAAGCAAAAACAGAGAAATTAAAGTCCTAATGTGTTCAACTTACACTTCAGGAGACTTTACTTCTAAGGAAGAGGACATGGGCATGTTACCTAAGCACGGATGTTTTTTGCTTTGCTCTTTCTCTGTCTCAGGTCCATAGGACAGTGCCTGCCTAAGGTAGGAATCCTAATCATATAATATTTATTGAAGGAAAGCATGAATGAATGAATAAGCAAACAAATAAATTGGATGCTTTCAGCAGGAGCTTTGGATGAAAGAGAACATTGTTATTCTTGGAGAAAAAGAAAAGACTGAATGAACTGTCCTATCCATTTCTTTTATCCTCACCTTTAATAACATAAATGTTGCATGCATTGGAGGTACTAAGGTATGGTCTCTGTCCTCAAGACATTTTCATAATAGCAACTGATTCTAATGGCTGACCTCCAGTCCTCAGGTCTTCTAATGTCACAGATATAGCAGATTTTCCTGGTAAGAGTCTGGTGTGCAATCTTCAAGATTCAGAGTACATGAACCATGTGGTATGCATCATTGGTTTTCACTTATGGATTTCTTTCAGCTCTGCTATATTACATATTATTGGTGTAATAATATTATTTATTATATATTATTGGTGTAATAATAGGCAATAAAGAGATGAAGAAGCTAAGCTTCAAGACGTGCACATAGTCAAAATTAAGCTATCTCTATAAAGCTAGAAGCTATTAAGGCTGCTCAAGCTGTAAGAATAAGGCCAGAAAATATTTTTTTCTAGAAATATTTATTGAATGATTCATCTTGTGTCCATTAATTTAATTTAATTTATTTTTGTAAACTTTTATTTTAGGTTCAAATGTACATGTGTAGGTTTGTTATACAGGTAAATTGCATGTCATGAGGATTTGGTGTACAGATTATTTTGTCATCCAGGTAATAAGCATAATACCCAATAGGTAGCTTTTCAGTTCTCTTCCTCCTCCCATCCTCTACCTTCAAGTACATCCTAGTGTCTCTTGTTCCTTTCTTAGTGCCCATGGGTTCTCAATGTTTAGCACCCACTTATAAGTAAGAACATGCAGTATTTGGTTTTCTGTTCCTGCGTTAGTTTCCTTAGGATAACGGCCTCCGACTCCATCCATGTTGCTGCAAAGGACATGATCATATTCTTCTTTTATGACTGTATAGTATTCCATGGTGTATATATGCCACATTTTCTTTATCCAGTCTACTGTTGATGGGCATTTAGGTTGATTCCATGTCTTTGCTATTGTGAGTAGTGCTGCGATGAATACACACATATGTTGTCTTTATGGTAGAATGATTCATATCAAGTGGGGGCTGGGGACTCACAGAGAAGAAAGACTGGGTTTCTTTCCACACAGTGGCTGTGGCATGCTGGAGGTGCCAGCATAATGACCAGGCTCTTAGTTCTCTCCCCAGCTTGAGGGCAATAAAGGCAGTCACCGCAGCTGCAAAGGCAGAGGACTGTGGGCTGTCTCTGGGATTTCCTCCCCAGAGAAACACAGAGCTGCCACCAACTGAAATGTTCAGGCTAGGGCAAGGTGGTTGTGATGAGGGGCCCAGGTCAAGAGACCCTGTCCATTGAGGAGTAGTGGGGTGGGGACCCGCATGTAAAGCAGTCTGGCCACTTTTCTGTAAGGCAGCTGCTCTGTGCTGGGAACCCATATTAGTCTCTAATCACTGCGTTCCTTCTAGAGCCTGAGGGTAACAGGAGTTAGGGCTGTGGAGCAGAAAAAAAGGCACCCTGACTGCTACGTCTGGGAGATCCATCCCAGGGAAATGCAGAGCTGCTTCTGGCCAGAAAGCTGAGGCAGGGCTGGGGTGGCCACAGTAGAGTCCCAGGCCACTGGGCCTTACCTGATGAAGTACAGTGGAGGCTAGGCCTATAGTCTATCTGCTGCTCAGCCCCATGGATTCAGCCCCTGTCCAGGGGTTGTATGAGGGAGCCTGGCCTCCCCTGGCTCCAGAGCTGCAGCTGCTGGTGCCAGGATGCCCAGGGATCCAAGGCTCCAAAGACTTCTCATGTGCCTGAGTGGTGGCTCTGTCCAGACTCCATGTAGCTCTCCCTGTCAGTCTGAAGGCCTGAGGGGGTGGGGAGGTGGTAGTCACTGGGGTTCTTCCAAGCCTAGGGTCATAAAAGTCCATGGCAGAAGTGTGAATCCCCAGGGATGCTCACTCACTGTTTCTCAGGGGTGGGGGGCCTGCCTTGGCTCTGCACCACTCCCAGGTGGATGATTGTCCTGCTGCTCTCCTCCATTCTCTGTGAGTCATGTTGCTTCCCTGATGAGCCCAATGTGTCCACCTGGATGATCTAGTTGAAGAGCTAATGTTTACTCAGCAGTCTTTTTTCTCTCTGGGACAGCAGCATGCACTAGCTGCTTCTAGTCGGACATATTGGCTGGAATTCAGAAAATATCCTCTGGCCTTGCGGATATGAAAATATTATTTAATTATTTAATTATATTATTATTATTTTTGAATTGTTTAATTTTAAATTTTTGTGGGTACATAGTAGGTGTATATATTTATGGAGTACATGAGATATTGTAATACAGGCATACAATGCATAATAATCAAATCAGGGTAAATTGTTTTAATTTTTGCCGTCTACAAATAAGTGAGAACGTGAAGTTTATCTTTCTGCACCTGGCTTATTTTACTTAACATAGTGTCCTCCCATTCCATCCATGTTGTTGAAAATGACAGGATCTCATTCTTTTTAATGGCTGAATAGTACTCCATTGTACTATGTACCACATTTTCTTTATCCGTTCATCTGTTGATGGACACTCAGGTTGCTTCCAAACTTGGCTATTATAAATAGTGCTGCAATAATCACTGGAATGCAGATGTCTCTTTGATCCACTGATTTCCTTTCTTTTGGGTGTATACCTAGTAGTGGGATTCCTAGATCATATGGTAGCTCTATTTTTTAGATTTTGAAGAACATCCAAACCGTTCTCCATAGTGGTTGTACTCATTTATATTCCCATCAACAGTGTATGAGGACTTTTTTCTCCACATCCTCACCAGCATTCACTATTGTCTGTCTTTTGGCTAAAAGCCATTTTAACTGGGGTGAGATGATATCTCATCATAGCTTTGATTTGCATTTCTCTGATGAAAAATGATAGTGAACACCTGTTCTTATACTTGTTTGCCATTTGTATAATCTTCTTTTGAGAAATCTACTCAGATCTTGAAAGGAACATTTTTATTCCCAACAGTTTCATAGATGAAAAACTGTCACCTTCAAAAAATAGATGTGCAAAACAGCTATTGGGTCCTAATTAATTTTTTCCACAATTTATGAAGATTTTAGGCCCATAAAATGAACCTAACTACATGCTATGTGTAAAAAACATTTCATATTCAGTGACATAGGTAGGTTGAAAGCAAAAAGATGAAAAAAGATATATCGTGCCAGTATTAATGGAAAAGGAAGGAATGGTTTAATATCTCATAAAGTAGACTTCAGAGCAATAAAAATTACTGGAGAAAAAGATGGACATTACATGATATCATAACAAACTTAACTGTGTACACACAGAAAAACATATATGAAGGGAAAAGAAACATGAAGCAAAAATTGATAGAGCTGAAAAAGAAAGTAGACAAATCCAAAATTATAGTTATCAAGTATATAGAAGACCTGAACAATATGATCCACCAACAGATGTAATTGACATACAGAACACTTCACCCTATAATACTGGAATGTATTTTTAAAGCCTCCATAGAAGACTAACCAAGATAGACTATATCCTGGGCCATGAAATCATATAGTGTGTACTCTCTGACCATGGTACAATCAAATTAGAAATTAACAGTGTAAAGACAAAAGGAACCTCTCCAAGCACTTTAAAATAAACAACACACTTACAAATATTCATGGATCAAAGAGCAAGTCAAAACAAACAACAGCTACAGAAAAAAAAAAAACGCGTGAAATGAAAATACACCATATAAAAACTATGGGATATAGCATTAAATGCTTACGTGAGAAGTAAGGAAAGTTTGCAAATCAGTATTTTAGGTTTCTGGCTCAAGAAACTAGAAAACAAAGAGCAAAATAAACTCAAAACAAGCAGAAGAAATAAAGTAAAAAACAAATCAATAAAATTAAAAATAGAAAAACGGTGGCGAAAATTAATGAAACAAAAAGCTGTTTTTTCACAAAAAAATCAATAAAATAGATAACAAATATAACAAAACTAATATACATGAAAAGCAAAAAACAGAAATAATATCAGAAATGAAGTAGGAGCTTAAAAAGATCTCCAGGTCCAAATGGTTTCACTGGTGAAGTCCACCAAACATTTAAAGAAGAATGAATATCAATTTTACACAATATTTTTCAGAGAAGGAGGGTATACTTAACCAACTTATTTTATGAGGTCAGTATTATTCTGATACCAAAACTAGCCAAGTACAATAAAAAAAGTGAAAGCAAACTGCAGACAAACAACTCTCGTGAACTTAAAGGCAAAAATCTGTAGCAAAATATTAGCAAACTGCATTTAACAATGTATGAAAAATTACATACCATGATCAAGTGGAATTTGTTCTGGGTATACAAGGTTAGTTCAACATTTGAAAATCAATCAGTGCAGTCTACCATACTAACAGACTGGAGAAGAAAAATATGATCACATCAATTCACAGAAAATTAATTTTGGTCAAATCTAACAGTTGTTCATGATAAAAAAAAATCTAACTATTAGGTTTAGAAGGAAATTACCTCAATTTGTTAAGGTATACATACAAAAATACCCATACCTAACTTCACACTTAATTTCAAAGACTGAATAACATGGGAAACAAGGCAAAGGTTTCCTTTATTCTCACTCTTAATTCAAAATAGTAATGGAAATTCCAGACACAATAACAAAACAAGAAACAGATAAAATGCATATAGATTAGAAATGAAGAAATAAAGTGGTTTCTATCTTTATGAAGATAAAATAATTGTCCATGTAGAAAATACCAATGAATCTACAAAACATCAAAAAATCCCTGCTACAATTAACAAGTGAGTTCAACAAGGTTGTAGGATACAAAAAAAACACCCAAAAATTAATGGAATTTCCACATGCATGAAGATACAGAAAAAAATAAAAACAACATGTATAATCACCCAAGAGAAAACTAAATACTTAGGTATATACTTAATGAAACATGTAAAGTATCTATATGATGGAAATTTTTAAAAATGTTAATGAAAGGACTCAAAGAAGACCTAAATAATGGACATATTCCATTCGTGTATTGAAGGGCTCAACACAGTAAAATATGGCAGTTTTCTTCAAATCCGTGTACAGATTCATTACAATTTCAATAAAAATTCTAGTGACATTATTGTATTTTTAAATTTTATTTATTTATTTTTTAACTTCTACTTTAAGTTCAGGGGTACATGTGCAGGTTTGTTGTATAGGTAAACTTGTGTCATGAAGGTTTGTTGTACAGATTATTTCATTGCCCAGGTATTAAGCATACTACCTATTAGTTATTTTTTCTGATTCTTCTCCTCCTCCCATCTTCCACCCTCCAACAGGCCCCAGTGTGTGTTGTTCCCCTATATGTCTCCATGTGTTCTCATCATTTAGCTCCCACTTATAAGTGAGAATATGCAGTATTTGGTTTTCTGTGTCTGTGTTAGTTTGTGAAGGATAGTGGCCTCAAGCTTCATCCACATCACTACAAAGAGCATGATCTCATTCTTTTTTATGGCTGCATAGTATTTTATGTATATATGCACCACATTTTTTAATCCAGTCTGTCATTGATGGGCATTTATGTTGATTTCATGTCTTTGTTATTGTAAATAGTGCTGCAATGAACATACAAGTACTTATGTCTTTATAATAATTTATATTTCCTTGGGTATATACCCAGTAATGGGATTGCTAGGTTGAATGGTATTTCTCTCTTTAGGTCTTTGAGGAATCACCATATTGTCTTCCACAATGGTTGAACTAATTTACGCTCCCACCAACAGTGTATAAGTATTCCTTTTTCTCCACAACCTTGCCAGCATCTGTTATTTTTTGACTTTTTAATAATAGCCAATTTGGTGTGAGATGGTATCTCATGTGGTTTTGATTCGCATTTCTCCAGTGATCAGTGATGCTGAGCTTTTTTTCTCATGTGATTGTTTGCCACATGTATGTCCCCTTTGGAAAAGTGGTCTGTTCATATCCTTTGCCCATTTTTTAATGGAGTTTTTTATGTTTTTCTCATAAATTTGTTTAAGTTCCTTATAGATGTTGGATACTAGACCTTTGTCAGGTGCACAGTTTGCAAAAATATTCTCCCATTCTGTAGGTTGTCTGTTCACTCTGTTGATAGCTTCCTTTTTGTGCTGGGAATCTTTAATTAGATTCCACTTGTCAATTTTTGCTTTTGTTGCAATTGCTTTTGCCGTCTTCGTTCTTTGCCCTCTCCTGAGTCCAGAATGATATTGCGTAGGTTGTCTTTGGGGGATTTTATAGTCTTGGGTTTTACATTTTACAGTGACATATTTTTTAGGCACATACAAGTATATTCTAAAAGTTATATGGAGAGGTGCAGGGCCTAGAATAGCTAAAATAATCTTTACAAAGAATATGTAGGAGGACTCACCCAATCTAACGATTATGCTCACTATAGAGCTACAGTAATCAAGACAGTGAGTTGCCAGAGGGACAGACAGAGATCAATAGAAGGGAGTGGAGAAACCACAAAACGACTCACACAAATGTGCTTAACTTGTTTTTGACAAAGATGCAAAAACAATTAAGTGAAGGAAGGATGGCCCTTTCAACAAATGGTGTTGGAGCAATTGACTATCCACAGACAAAAAATAAATCTCTACCTAAACCTCACACTTCCTACAAAACTTAAAATAGACCTAAATGTAATAGATACAATTTAAAAACTAAATATATAAGCATATATATGTAAATAATATATAAAACACATTCAGCAATGAGTATAGTAATTGGGGAAATCTTAGCAAACACAGTGAATTGTATAATATTAGTATCCTGGTTGTGAAACTATACTATTATTTTGCAAGATGTTACCATTGAGAGAAACTGGGTAAAAGGTACAGAGGATCTCTCAGTATTATTAAAACTGCACATGAATCTATAATTATCTCAATAAGAATGTCAATTTAAAAAATTGGCCCTGAACTGGCAAAACCAATAGCACCTTGGCAGAGAAAAGTGAGAAGCTACTGTGTAGAAATGCTTCCAATAAGAAGCCCCTTCACACTCTTAGCTCATGAAAACAACTCTGTCTTGGGCCATTCAAGCTGCTATAACAAAATATCTTCCATTGAGTGACTTATAAACAACAGAAGTTTATTTCTCATAATTCTACAGTCTAAGAAGTTCAAGATGAGTGCACTGGCAGATTTGGCGTCTGGTGAGGGCCTGCTTTCTGGTTCACAGATGGCATCTTCTAGCCATGTCCTCACATGCCAGAAGTGGGGAGCTAGCTCTCTGGGATCTCCTTCTTAAGAGCATAACCCCATTCCTGAGAGCTCCATAACACTGCTGAAAAGGCCTGCATGTTTAAAATTGTAAGGCTTATGAAAAAATGAACCACTACAAAAGAATGTCAGAAAATGCAATACGTGTGAGGTTCACATCCAATAATTCAAGATGGAAGAATTTGAAAAAAACCTGTCAAACTTGTCTGTCTAAAATTTTTTAGGAAATGGTGGGAAAAAAAGAAGCCATAAATCAATGACAAGAATATTCTGGAAAAATATCAGGAGGATTGAAAAAAGAACCAACTAGAAAGTATAGCTATAAAAGTATATCTAATAAAGAATTTTGTGAAGAGGTTAAAATAGAAGATCAAAAAGAACTCAAGATAAATTTAATGACTAGATGAGAGAGATGAGGAAACGAACCAGAATGTAGTACAGAAAGATAAGGACATGGAAACTGTAAAAACAAACAAAAAAATTAAGAGATGATAAAAGCTGTAATTAAAGAACACAAAGAAGAGAATGGACTCAAAACACTGGTAGAATTTAGAGTTTGATTATGAAAGGTATGTGGGAATTGTGAGAGAGAGGATTGACAATGGATGTGAGATCTTTATTTTGGAAGACATTGGGAATTTGAGGTATCTGCAGAAAATTTCAGTATGATGCACAGTATTCAGTTATGTTTATGAACCTGGGCTTCAGGGGCGAGCAACACACTGGAAAGACCTAGAAGAAAACTAAAGCCCAGAAATGTGGTGGAAACTTTCCTGAAGTGAAGAACAGAGATTTACACCTACATGTCAGAAGGATTGATTTACAGACAACTAACTCAAGCCGAGCGTGGAGTAGATAGAAATCAGTATTAAAAGTATTTGTTTTTGCCCAGACTTTTAAGAGGACCATATGATAAGGTGTAGCCTAATGGTTCAGTTACATAAAAGCTTTTGATACACTGCAATAAATGAGCATCTTACCCTGAAAAGTAGATCATTAAAGTATAATTATTTTTAGAGAATAAATGAAATAAATTAGCTGCTTTGGAGGTAGTTACTAGGTTATTCTTGATAAGAGTAAGGAGCAAATTGCTAGAGTTAATGATGGTTGGTTTTAGGGAAGTGATCACTGGTCAACATAATTTCATTTTCAGTATTATTCAAACAGAATGAACGTTTTTGCAAGTAATGTCTGTTGAATTTTAAGCATTAAAGAATGAAAAGGATATATTTGCTCATTTATACATTAATATGCTGTATCAGTGTCAATACATTTAGAACTTTACTATTAATTTACTTCTACTTACTAGATTTTCTGTTTTGTAGGACAAAATCGTAGTAGGTAATGGTATAGGAATCTATCTAAAATAATGGGGCTGGAGATTGTGATGTATAGATTAGTCAGATTAGCAGGGTTGGAACATAGACACAATAAATTTGCTTAGGAGCTTGTTAAAATGTATGGAGAGTTGAAATCTTATGCAAATCATGTGTACACGAACCTTCTGTTTCAGAAGATTCTTGAGCAGTGAGGGGCAATGGTTAAGAATTCTAGTTTTGTGGTCAAACACATTTGCTTTGTTGAGCAGTAGCTGTGAGGTTTTGAGACAATTAAGTAGCCTCTCCATGCCTTCATGGGTAAGTGGAAGACAATAACAGGACGTATATTGAAGGATAATAATGAAGATTAAATTAACTATAGCCTGTGCTATACAATGCCTGATAGGCAGTTAGTGCTCCAAAAAGTTTTAGGTTTTGTTAGCATTTGACATTGCCTTGGTGCTATCATTATATAATCAACCATCAATCTATGTATGAGAAAGCCTTAATGTGGAAATCTTCTGATAGTTTTCTGTATGTGGTTTGTATATTTTTTTATTATTTATTTATTTATTTTTCGAGATGGAGTCTTGCTCTGTTGCCCAGGCTGGAGTGCAGTGGCGTGATCTCGGCTCACTGCAACCTCTGCCTCCCGGGTTCAAGCAATTCTCCTACCTCAGCCTCCCGAGTAGCTGGGACTACAGGCACGTGCCACCACCCCTGAGTTATTTTTATATTTTTAGTAGAGATGGGGTGTCACCATGTTGGCCAGGCTGGTCTCGAACTCCTGACCTCATGATCTGCCCGCCTTGGCCTCCCAAAGTGCTGGGATTACAGGCGTGAGCCACCGCACCCAGCCTGGTTTGTATTAAAGCGCAAACTTTAATGATAGAGGCTTTATAAAATTAGAAAAGAAGACAGTCATTTATATTGAGCAGCTGTGTTACAGGCACTGTGTAAGAAACTTGTACACATATATTATCTCATTTAATCTGCCCAACAGCCTTGTATAATAGTAATTATTCTTCTCATTAAAAAGTTAAGCAAAATTCTATGTTTCAAGTGTCACAGAGATAGTGACAGAGCCATTTTCAAATCCCCAGTCCCTCATTTTTACATCCTTATAGAAAATGTGATTAAGCCATAATATTGATTGAATGGAGATGAATTTTTTCTCTTCTTGGTGCTTCAGATAATGTAATTGACTGAAGTAGTACATGCTCTAACCCTTTACTCCTTCTCTTTTGTATGTAACTATGCTGGAATTAAGTTGTGAAATAATTATGGTTTTCATAGTTTCTGGTAATGTCTGAAAAATTACTAATATATAGATTGTGAGGTCTGAACTGATAAAATTAGAGAGAGAGAGAGAGAGAAGGAGAAAGATAAATATAGATATAGCTATTAAAAACAATAAGAATCAGTCAGATTTGACCGTAAATGGATAAAAGACTAATTCTGCCAAGAATCATAGAGATTCGACATTTGTATAGCCTTAGGAATGTGTCTGTAAATTTTAGCAACACAGAGAATTAGACTAGAAGAAAGTTGTAACAAAGGGAAAAATGACCCCATTCTTTACAAATTCTCAAACATTTTTATACACAAAAAGGCTATATTATCATACATAGGAAAAACTTACAAATACTTGTATGTATTTAAATATATCAGTGGACTTTTAAAAATAAACATGCCTCGAAAGCAAGCATTTCATGTTAATGGCATTAAAGGAGTTTATATTGAGTTTGGGACAAAAGATAAATTATTCCATATTTAAATCCTTGGATGATGGATCAGAATTTTTTGCTGTCTTCTTGAATTTATATAGTTTAGATATTTTTGGTTTAGAGTTTGTTTATACAGGTTCAAAAATTTGATCAAGTTTTAGCTTTAAGAAAGCTGGAGTTTGAATTCCAGGCTTAGAGCTCCCTCTTCTGCTTACTGGTAGATATGGGAAATCCTGGGTTTTTATCAATGAATTCCAAGATTATGTCAGAATTCCTACATCCATATTTTTACAATTAACTTTCTGAAACGTAGCTGGAATTTATTACTTTTGATAGTTAGTGATTAACCAGTTTACCTGAAAAACAATGTGTGATAACCAGGGGCAATTTGCATGTACCAGAAACCTCTAAAAAAATTCTTATATTTAGAAGACAAAATTTTAGGGGTCAAATGGAAACATCATAAGGATAGAAGAAAGAAGGAAGGTAATGTTATTAGGTAGTTATATGTTAAGCAAAGTACTATGTATTCCCCAGCCATTATCTCAAAGAGTTTAATGATTGCTGGTTTGACAAATGACAAAATTGAGGTACAAAGAGTTTAAGTGACTTTCCCAAGCTCATGTAGCTGGTAAATTCAGACATCAAGGTCCTGTCCTCTGTCCACTAATACACGAAGAACAGCAGTCAAGTGCAAAAAGAGTGTTGTAGAAAAGAGAAGAGTTTGTGACTTATTTATTTATTCAGTCACTCATTCAACAAACGTGATTAAATTTGTGGATTGTAGAGTATACATTGTTAAAATAGATTCTAATTTATAATATTTTAATGGGCAAATAGACTGAGTTATAAATACTGTTACATGTTACATAATCTCTTCATCGTTACAAGTACTAAAATTGTGTTCTTATTTGTGTTTTTCATGGTCAAAAGAGAGGGAAAGAAACAGAAAGACTAATTTTTATTTAGTGTCGACTATATGCTAAGTGTTTATGTATTTTGTTTATATTAGTTGTCACAGCAACTTCATGGTATTAGGCATTTACTTTTTTCTTTCTTCCTTTTTAAAAATTAATAGATGTTATTTCTTGGAGTGATTTTGGGTTCACAGCAAAATTGAGCAGAAGGTATATATATATACTCCCTCCCCCTACATATGTACAACCTTCCCCACTATCAACATCCTCCACCAAAATGGTACATTTGTTACAATTGATGAGCCTACATTGACACATAATCACTGGAAGTCCATAGTTTACGTTAGTGTTCACTCTTGGTATTGTACATTCTACGGGGTTGGCCAAATTTATAATGACATGTAATTACTATTATAGGATCATACAGAGTAGTTTCACTGTCCTAAAAAATGCATGTGCTCTGCCTACTCATTGTTTCCTGGCTTTTAATCCCTGGCAACTACTGATGTTTTTACTGTCTCCATAGTTTCATCTTTCCCCAGAATGTCATATATTTGGATTCATACAGCATGTAGCTCTTACAGATTGGTTTCTTTCACTGAGTAATATGAATTTAAGTTTCTTCCATGTCTTCCTATGGCTTGATACCTCATTTCTTTTTAATGCTGAATAATCTTCTGTTGTCTGGATGTACCAAAGTTTACCCACCCATCTACTGAAGGACATCTTAGTTGTTTCTAAGTTTTGGCAATTATGAATGAAGCTACTATAAACATCAATGTGCATATTTTTATATGGACATAAGCTTTCAATTTATTTGGGTAAATACCAAAGGGCACAATTGCTGGATCTTCAGGTAAAATTGTGTTTACTTTTGCAAGAAACTGCCAAACTGTCTTCCAAAGTGACTGCACCATTTTGCATTCCCATCAGCAATGAATGAGAGTTTCTGTTGTTCCACATCCTTACCAGCATTTAGTGTTGTCAGTGTAGGCACCGATTTTTAATTATCCTGATAGGATGGCCATACATCCTGGCTTGCCTCTGTCTCACAGTCTTGGTTAATCCTGTTGTGCTGGTTTAATTATTAACAGTACCCCTCTCCCCTATTTCACTCTTTGAAGAACCTTGATTCACAAAATGTATTATATGTCCTTCTAATTATCCACATGTTAAACTTGTGAAAACTAAGGTCCAGAAAAGTTAAGCAACTTGCCCAAGGTCACCAGTTTGTAAATTGTCAAGTACAGGGACTGGGAGAAAATGCTGCCTGACCCTAAAGCCCATACTCTTCCCACTGTGCCAAGGTTGTGTCTGTCTGCAACATCTTCCAAACGTCTTCAGGGCCTTTCTGACTCTTCCTTGCCAATTGAGGGATATGATTCATTGCTTATCTTTTAGATTTTATAAGATAGTCATAACTGCAATTCAGCATTCCACATAACATATAATTCCATTTTCAAAATGAAACAGAGGTCTTGCTGACACAACCACTTATGAATGCTAACAGCTTTAAGTGGCTGCATTGGTTGCTTTGTATATTGATCACCAACAATGCTTTACTGGGTCATATCAAAAGGCTCTTATAATGTTGATAGACTGTATTTTCTTTGTGTAATATTTTGCTTTTTCTGTAAGGCTCTAACAGATGAAAGTGTTAACCTTGTTGAATAATAATTTTGCAAATGCTTGTTCTGGTAAAATGGTGACATTGTCAGAGACGAGAGAGTCTTTTGTATTAAAACTTTCAATGGTGGGGTCATCAAATGTATAAATCCTCAAAATTTATCTTCTGGAACCTTTTACACAGGCAAAACACGCCATATGAACATGGGGTCAGCATGGGTTAAAGCCAAAATGTGAAATGCATAGCAATAGCACCCTTGGGGGCAGAACTTATAAAAAGGCAGTCTGGGGGTGTATAGGAAGGATGTGCCTAAAGGGAAGTGGTTCTACCCCTTTTTCTTAAGGATAGTGGTGGGCTCTGAACAGCTGGATAGTAAGATACTGTACTTGATAAAACTCACTCATTTTAATGTGACTTAAAACATGTCTTCCCCCATGAGTATTTGAATTTTAAAAAATGATAAGGTAGACAGAAATCTCTGCATTAGTTGACAGCCTAGACAAGGATACATATGATACTAAGGGGTCTGTCTGGAAAGGCTCAATTCAAAGTTTATCTACTCACAATTTGTAGGACACCTACCAAGACAGTGGTATGGGTTTTGCTGGGTTTAAAGAAACTTTGTGAATGATGTTTTTAAAAAGATGTTTTCTTCCTGGGCTTTGTTTCTGATATAAAAAAATCCAAATTATATATTCTTTTACTTCTCTCTCTTGGCTTAAAATAATATATACATAACATAAGTATGTCATAAACTGTCTTACTTTTGTATTTATGTAGTGAGAAAAGAATTTTTGTGTGTGTGGATAATGAGGGAGAAGGAAAGAGAAATATTTTAAAATCAGCACTTTCTACAGAGAAAAACTATCCTAAAATCTTGCAGAAGCACTTCCACAAAGTCAGCTGGCTGAGAACCTGTCCAATTTTTGCAAAATCCAATTGGAAGAATTCTTTACCATTTTCTCAGTATCTTCTTTCTCAGGTTGCTTATTAGGGATTGCCAAAATGTATTCCAATGTACATTACCAGAACCTTCCCTTTCTTTTTCTACTTACATGTCCTTGTGTGTGGCCTTTTAATAGCCCATAATCAGGTGAATTGTTTATGCTGCAGTTAAGAGAAGAAGGCCTTATGCTGGCGGCACCCTGGTATGTTGCCATGGAAATGCCATGATCACTAATTCAGCATTAGGATTTTTGGCCACACTATGGAAATGAGCATAGAGAGAAGGCAGGTTGAGATTTTCTTTAAAATGATACAAAATAACCTCAGTTATACTTGTCCCTTGCTTATGCAACAGACATGTTCTTTGAAGAGTTATTTTTTAAATATATAACTTTAAAAACAAAATCCTATTAGAGATGTTTTAAAGTAGCTTGATAGCTATCATCAGCTGGAAACAAACAATAGGAAGATTTTTGTTGTTGCTATTGTTTTTAGTGATAACAGTACTTATCACCTGGTTATACTATTTTTTGGAAAATTAAATTTGATAATATATGGAATGTATTATCTCAGCATGGCACTTCACACTACAGTAGGCAGATTTCTAAAGTTGTCCACCCAAGATTTCCATCCCCTGGTTATTCAACCAAACACTAATCTAGATATTGTCCTGAAAGGCTCTATACATGTGATTAAGGTCACCAATCAGCTGACTCTAATTGGGCCCACTGTAATCATATGAGCTCTCAAAGGCAGAAAATGGAGGCAGAAACAGCGATATGGCAGATGGGGAAGTCAGAGGGAGTTGAAGCATGTGAAAAACTTGGTCCAATGTTGCTGTGAGCCAAGGAACGTGGGCAGTAACCTGTTCTCATCCTGAAGCTGAGAACAACCCCTGGCCTATAGCTAGCAAGAAAACAAGTGCCCCAGTTCTACAACTGCATATAATCGATTCTGCCAAGGGTGGAATCAGATTCATCTTCAGAGACTCCAGAAAGGAGTTCAGCCCTGTGGATATCCTGATTTCAGTCTCGTGGGACCCAGAGAAACTATCCAAGCATAGGATTTCTGACTTAACCGTGAGATAATAAACTTGTGTTGTTTTAAGGAGCTAAATTCTTGGTTATTTCTTACGGCAGCACTAGAAAACTAAAAGAGGCACCAAGCAATGACCAATAGATATTTCTGTTTCTTTCTGCTTTCCCTGTCACCCATTCACTGCTCCATCATTGCCTCCTCCCTTATCAGTAACCCTAGCTTTCTTTGTGTGTGTGTGTCTGGGTGTTACTCATATACTTAAAATCAGAGGAAGTGAGAGAGAGAGAAGCCCCACTCTCTGTTTAGAGTGTTACTTTGTCCCTGCTCTCCTTAGAGTGCTCATTAGTCCCACAGACCCTCCTTCTTCTCCCCTTGTCTTGTTTATCCTCTTTCCTATTTGCCCAGCAGTCTCAAGGTGATAGGCTGTGGTACCTGAGAGTATGAACAAGATTATTGGGGGGTGGGAAAATAATATTCCACTCATTTCTTCACACACATACACACACACACCTGTACCCTATTCTTAAGGCAGATTTCAACAAAAACAAAGACAGAAAAAAGATGAAAGTGTTTGACTTAATCCGTTTCTGCTGCTATGCAAAACACTGTACAGAGCAGGTAATTTATAAAGCATAAAAATTTATTTCTCACAGTTCTGGAGACTGTGGTGTCCATGTCCCAGGTGCTGGCAGATTTAGCGTCTGGTAACTGCCCACTGTCTGCTTCCCAGATGGTGCCTTTTGGCCGCATCGTCCCAAGAAAATGAACATTGTGTCCTTACATCGCAGAAGGGACGAAAGGGCCAGGTCACTCTCTGAAGCCTCTTTTAAAAGGGCATTAATTCATGAGGGTGGAGCCCTCATAAGTTAATCACTTCTCAAAAAAGTCCGTCCTCTTAATTCCACCGCAATGGGGATTAAGTTTCAACTTGAACTTTGGAGGAACACAACATTCAGACCACAGCAGGAATAGGCTTGTTTTTAAATGTAGTGCTTGCTTGTTTTGGTAAAACATTGTGGAGGTGACTGAGAAGGTAGTAATCATGAGTTTGTGAGAAGGATGGAAATCTAAGGATATCCTCTTCAAGGTCAGAGTCATTACTGCCAAGATTAGGCACTTAACATCAGTGTTTCCTCATCGTAAGAGGTTGATAGCCAACTTGGTAAGTGCCTAGCTCAATCACAATTCCATACAATAGATGACATACCCCCAAGTCAAATTCATTTCTCAGGTAAAGACATCTGATGATAGAAGGATGTGGTTTGTTTGTTTAAGGTTAAGTGACATAAAATACCATTTTCTCCCCAAAAGTGAATTCAAGGGAAAAGGGCATGAAATGGGTCTGGAGAATGAATCAGGCTGACATCTTCCTTCTAGAACCTTAGTGGAGGTCTCAATGTCAGGGAATCTCTAGATATTAAACTAATCTGTCTTAGTTATGTGTTCTCTTCAGCATAGTTAGCTGCTCAGGCTTAGGTAAGAAGAGTTTTCATGACAAACATGAGAACGAGATTCTTGGGAGTAGAGGGCATTTGCAAAACAGAAAAATCTGCTTTCTTCTGTGACCGGCTTAGCCTTCATAATTATGCATCATGAAGTCTAAGCCGGTCACAGAAGAAAGCAGATTCTCATGCTGGAAATGATTATTTTGAGGTAATGATACTTCACATTTGACATATGAAAGGCAATTAAAAGCCATCAATGTATAATTTGAGAATGTGCAGCTTAGAAGAAAGTCAAGAATTTCCTGTAACTGGATTTCTTATCATCATTATTTTTGATACTAAAATACTTCCAAAGTATACCGAGCTTTAGAGTTTATAAAAATATTTACTTACAAAAGCTTATTTCTCACAAGACACTATGAGTTAGATACCATTATTATTTCCATACTACAAATAAAAAAAAGCTGTGTCTCAAATAGTTAAATCACTTGCCAAAGACCACTCCTTAAGAAGCAATGAAGACAAGAGTCACACTTATGTGTTTGTTTGTTTGTTTTGAGATGGAGTCTTGCTCTGTTGCCCAGGCTGGAGTGCAGTGTGGCACGATCTTGGCTCACTGCAACCTCCACCTCCCGGGTTCAAGCAATTCTCTGCCTCTGCCTCCCGAATAGCTGGGATTACAGATGCCTGCCACCACACCCGACTTATTTATTTATGTATGTATTTATTTATTTGTATTTTTAGTAGAGACAGGGTTTCACCATCTTGGCCAGGCTGGTCTTGAACTCCTGACCTCATGATCCACCCACCTTGGCCTCCCAAAGTGCTGGGATTACAGAAGTGCGTCACCGCGCCCAGCCTGCACTTATGTTTTTTAACTCCAAAGTGGTTGATGTTTTCTTGCAAACTCTCAACTGTCCTCATAAGCGTCCTTGGAGGGGACTAGTATACAGTTGTTTCCCCCCAATAATTGTTTTTATTGTGGTAAAAGATACATAAGATTTGCCATATTAATCATTTTTAAGTGTGCAGTTCAATGGTATGAAATACATTCGTCTTGTTATGCAGTCATCACTGTCATCCATCCCCAGAACTCTTTTTATCTTGCAAAACTGAAACTCTAAACCCATCAAACAATGACTTCCCCACCTCCTTTTCCCCAGGCCCTGGCAAACACCATTTCATTTTCTGTCTCAATGAATTTGACATACTTCATAAAAGTGGAATTATATAGGATTTGTCTCTTTGTGACTACACACTTTTTTAAATTTAAAATAAGAATTCTAGGAATCTTCTAACTCAAGATTAGCCAAAGAATGTTCCCCTCCTCCTCCCTTGATTCCTAACTTACTAAGTGATATGGTTTGGCTCTGTGTCCCCACCCAAATCTCATCTTGAATCATACTCCCATAATTCCTATGTGTTGTGGGTGGGAACCGGTAGGAGAAAATTGAATCAAGGCGGTGGTTTCCCCCATACTATTCTCATAGTATTAAATCAGTCTCACGAGATCTGATTGTTTTTTAAGGGGTTTCTGCTTTTGCTTCCTCCTCATTGTCTTCTTTTGTCTGCAGCCATGTGACATGTGCCTTTCACCTTCCACCAAGATTGTGAGGCCTCCCCAGCAACATGGAACATGGTGTTAGCAACATGGTGTTAGTTCAATACACCTCTTTCTTTTGTAAATTGCCTAGCTTTGGGTGCGTCTTTACCAACAGCATGAAAATGAACTAATACAGTAAATTGGTACCAGTAGAGTAGGGTGCTGCTGAAAAGATACCTGAAAATATGGAAGTGACTTTGGAACTGGGTAACAGGCAGAGATTGGAACAGTTTGGAGGGCTCAGAAGAAGACAGGGAAATGTGGGAAACTTTGGAACTTCCTACAGACTTGTTGAATGGCTTTGACCAAAATGCTGATAATGATATGGACAATGAAATCCAGGCTGAGGTAGTTTTAGATGGAGATGAGGATCTTGTTGGGAACTGGAGCAAAGGTGACTCTTGTTATGTTTTAACAAAGAGACTGGTGGCATTTTGCTCCTTCCATAGAGGTTTGTGAAACTTTGAACTTGAGAGAGATGATTTAGGGTATCTGGTGGAAGAAATTTCTAAGCAGCAAAGTGTTCAAGATGTGACTTGAGTGCCATTTTATAAGGGAAGTAGAGCATGAAAGTTCAGAAAATTTGCAGCCTGACAATGGGATAGAAAAGAAAATCCAATTTTCTGAGGAAAAATTCAAGCCAGCTGCAGAAATTTGTATAAGTAACATGAAGCTGAATGATAATTCCCAAGACAATGGGGAAAATATCTCCAGGGCATGTCAGAGGTGTTCGCAGCAGCCCCTGCCATCACAGACCCAGAGGCCCAGGAGGGAAAAGTGGTTTCCTGGGCCAGGCCTAGGGACTTTGTGCCCAGCATCCCAGCTTCTCCAGCTGTGGCTGAAAGGGGCCAACATAGAGCTCAAGCTGTGGCTTCAGAGGGTGTAAGCCCCAAGCCTTGGCAGCTTCCATGTGGTGTTGAGCCTGCAAGTGCACAGAAGTCAAGGATTGGGGTTTGGGAACCTCTGCCTAGATTTCAGGAGATGTATGGAAACACCTGGATGCCCAGGCAGAAGTTTGCCTGTACCCCCATCGTATCTAGGAAGTAACTAACTTGCTTTTGATTTTACAGGCTCATAGGTGGAACGGACTTGCCTTGTCTTGGATGAGACTTTGAACTGTGGACTTTTGAGTTAATGCTGAAATGAGTTAAGACTTTGGGTGACTCTTGGGAAGGCATGATTGTTTTTGAAATATGAGGACATGAGATTTGGGAGGGACCGGGGCGGAATGATATGGTTTGGCTCTGTGTCCCCACCCAAATCTCATCTTGAATTGTACTCCCACGTGTTGTGGGAGGGACCTGGTGGGAGATAAATGAATCATGGGGCAGTTTTCCCCATACTATTCTCTTGGTAGTAAATAAGTCTCATGAGATCTGATGGTTTTTTAAAGGATTTCTGCTTTTGCTTCCTCCTCATTCTCTTCTCTTGTCTGCCGCCATGTGAAATGTGCCTCTCACCTTCTGCCATGATTGTGAGGCCTCTCCAGCAATGTGGAACTGTGAGTCCAATAAACCTCTCTCTTTTGTAAACTTCCCAGTCTTGGGTATGTCTGTATCAGCAGCATGAAAATGGACATTTTGATTTTGGATTTTATCTGACTTAAAGAATAGACAGAAACCAGAGAGAAAAAAGAGAGATCCAACATACTTGAGAATTTAAAGTCAAATAATCACACAAATAAACATAAAATGTTTCTGTGAAAGAGGTCTGTGGAGCTCTGGAAGAGGATTCTGTCCTAGCTAGAGGAAGCTCCCTTTAGGATGGGGACTTTGAGTGAGATCTCTTTCTGTTATTTACTGTTTGGTAACAAATTGGCCCAAGTCAGTGGCAGAAAACAAAATTTATGTTCATAAATTCTGTGGATCAGGAATTTGTTCAGGACATAGAATTTTTGTCTCTGCTTCATGATATCTGAGTCTCAAATGGAAGATTTAAAGACCTGGTTGGAGGGTGCAGGGAAAGGGGATTCTATAGCTGGGAGCTGGAGTCATCTGAGAGCTTAGTCATTCGCCTGGCTATTGGCAAGGACCTTAGCAGGGGGATCTTGACCAGAGCACATATGGGGCCTCTCCATGAGGCCTGGACTTTCTCATTGCTGGGTTCCAGGTATGAGAATTCTGAGAGAGAAAGAGGCAGACAGAAGTTGTATCATGGTGTTGCTTCTACTGTTTTGTTCTGAAGGTAGTTACAAAGTTATGGCCAGCTTGAAGGAGAAGAGAAAATCGAATCCACCTCTTTATGGGAGTGAGTCAAGGTTCTGGGGAAGCTCTTATGGAACAAAAGTGTTGTTGTGGCCATTTTTGTGAAAGACAAACCACTCATTCTAAGGAATGAGTAGAAATCAACTGAGCCAAGAAGGAGGGACTGAGAAGGGACAAGGAGGAAGGGCATTCTCATAGAAGGAAAGTGGACTGCAGGCTCTCTGTGAGGAGAGTGAGGGGCTGTATGCCTTGAAAACAGAGAACCAGCATAGAAGGCAAGATAGTGATTGTGAGGTCGACAGGGCCAGGCCATGTAGGGCCTTGGAGACAGTGTTAAGAATTTTGCCTTTATTATAAAAGAACTGGGAAGCCTTGAAGCACTTTAGGTGGAAGTGACTGTGTGTATGTGTGTGGGATGTGGTGGTGAATGTGGGGATAACCTGATTCGCATTTTAAAGGTATCAGTTTGATGACAGTGGAGTGTAGACTGGGGGCAGATGATGATGGATGTCATGTTAACAGGTGAGTGTGATGGGCCTTTTCCTAACTTAGACCTGAGAAGTGATGAGAGAGATGGAGATAAATAGGGTACCTTGAACATGGTCAGAACATAAAACTGTCAGAAATTGGTAACCTAGAACCTGGAAGCACTGGTTTTGGGGTAAGATCAAGCGTGGATTTCAGTTTTAGGTACCTTTCAAACATCCAAATGCGAACATCAGTTTGTGATGTCAGGAGATCAACAATATTTCTTTAGGCAATATCAAATACATTTTTTTTTTAGTTCAATACCACCTTAAGAAAACTGGAAGCTCTAGACTTCCTTAAATTCCTCTCTATCATATCAAGAGTTTCTTACTTAATCTTTTCTTCATCCAATAAGTATATAGTGGCACCATATGTACCAGTTACTGTTCTAAGTGAAGGACACTGTTGAAAAGATATCAATGTTTCTGTCCACATGGATCTTACATTCTAGTGGTGGAGACAGTCAATTCTCATACAAATAAATGATAATTGTAAGTGCTATGAAGAGAAAAGGAAAGGCAGGTGTGGTACTAAGAGTGATGGGTGGCAGCCATTTTAGATGGCATGGTCATGGAAGACATCTTTTAGATGTTTGATTAGAAGACTTGATTGAAGTGAGAGTATCAACAAGCAAATATCTGAAGAAAGAATGTTTGAGGCAAAGGGACAGCAATCGTAAGAATCTGAAGTGAGAGTGTTCTTGAGGTATTTGAGAAAGATCAAGGGAGTCAGTATGACTGGAGAGAATGTGGTAGTAAATGAGGCCTGATATACATATGCTGGAGCTAGCTCACAGTAAGTCCTTTAAGTCTTAGTAAAGGAGGTTCATTTTATGTTGGGGGTAATAGAGAGCTACCAAAGAGTTTTGTGGAGGAGAGTGACATGATCCAAGTTATATTTTAAGTGGATTCTTCTGGCTGCTATGTGAAGAACTATTATATATATTATTATAATAGATGGGGCCAAGAGTGGAAGCCGGAAATATAATATATTTAATTATATCATATATATTAATATTTAATAATTATATATTTAATATATATTTAACAATTATTAAATATTAAACTTTAAACTGTACCCCTTCCAATCTGACCATTCTCAGCATCTCTGCCTCCATCACACTGAACCAAGGCACTAGTTTTTACCTTTCCTGTGTCACCACAGCAGTCTCCTAACTAGCTTTCCTGCTTCTACTCTTGGCCCCATGTATTATAATAATAGATATATAGTAGAAAATTGGCCCTCATCTATTGGCTATTGTTATTATATTAAATATATTATACATTTAATATATTATGATTATATATAAATTAAAAATATATCATTTAATGTATATTAAATATGATATATTCAATTATATTATATCTAATATATTTAATTCTAGATAATTGGATAATAGATAATCATAATATATTAAGTATGTTATAGATAATTATAATATATTAAACATATATAATTATAATAATTGATAGCCAATAGATGGGGCCAATTATCTACTATATATCTATTATTATAATACATGGGGCCAAGAGTAGAAGCAGGAAAGCTAGTTAGGAGACTACTGTGGTGACACAGGAAAGGTAAAAACTAGTGCCTTGGGTCAGTGTGATGGAGGCAGAGATGCTGAGAACGGTCAGATTGGAAGGGGTACGGCTTAAAGTGGAACCTGCAGAGAAGGCTCTCTCTCCAGGTCATAATGTGACTTTGTTGTTTCCAGCTCTCCCAGCCAGGGTCACTGTCCCATTGGGCTGGTCTGATTTGTTCCTCAGGCCATTTTGGCTCATCTCCTCTTGCTCACTTGGTCCATAAAATGTCACCTGAGCTAGTGTAGGCAAGAGAACATCGAGAATCTGTGTGGTATGATTAGCATTAAGCTCTCGTAAGTGGCTTAATGATTTTCACCATTGTGGGACTCTTAGAAATTCAAAAACTGAAACTGGCTTATCCAGGATTGCATAATAAAAGATTAACTGTCTCATATCTTAAGGCATTTGCTCCTTTTCTTATGACACTCTTTAAACATTTTACTCATCTTTGCTTTCCTTTGTGCTTTATTCTGAAAAAATTGTCCTTTAAATCTGTAAAATGCTTCCAGCTTTTTCGGAATCAAGAAAAGATTTTAATATTAAATGAAAGAACAAACAAATGAATTTTTAAGTAAATAAACTATTTTGACTTAGAGGGTTTGGAGTAAAGACCTACCAAAAAAAAGAAACGATTATTTATCTTACAGAGGAAAGCTTCACAAGGCATCTTAAAGCTTGTTTTTCATATATATATGAAAAGGAATGATGCACTAATATTGATTTTCTTTGAATACAGGACCTAAGAAATTGGCTTGGGTATTTAACAGAAATACCCAAGGATAAAAAATAAACACTTATTAGTTAGACAGAATTTCTGTAAAGAGAAAATTGTGAAATACTGGAAAGAATCAAATGAAGGTAGTTGTGATTGGAACTTCTTAGATGGTTAAAATAATTTGCTTTCATGTGCCTGAGACTGCTTAATTGCAATTCTATGTGGAAAAAAGGATAGAATGAATGAATTAAATAAAAATATTTTTACAATAAAATATATAATTCATATGTGGCTTTCCTATAAATTTATTTTTTGAAAAATAAAAAAATTCAGTTTAAAAATGTTCCAATGATAAAACTTTTTGTTATGTAATAAGATTATATCACATCTGAAGCAATTTGTAATGTGTTGTTTAAAGGAAAAAATAGTGAGCAAACACAATGACAGGTCAAATTTATGACTCTTTCTTGTTTGTCGTTTCTATATTCCGCTTGAGGATTAGTGTTCAAATTGAGTATAAGTAAGAATTGTCAGCCCAGATTTAACTATCCACTGTTGTAACCAGAATACATTTTAGGGTTAAAGATGAATAATTCAAGAACTATTTCTGGGAGCTTTTTTAACGTTGCAACTCTAATCAGCAGGTGGAATTTAACAGCAACTGCATTAATCAGAAACTAACAAGGTAAAAATTACTCCCTCTCTAGATACAGAAAATTTTTCTCATTTGCAGTAGCTTTTTTTTTTTTTTTTTTTTTTTTTTAAAGGGAGACCTCATTCAGAGTATTTTTATTTAGTACCTAGCAGGTAAAGCAAAGTAGTTGAGAGCCTGCCACGTGAGAGGTAAGATGTGTGCTTATGGATCAAAGATGGTCTCACAGCAAAATATACTCCATTGGGCTATTAGAGAGGCTTAGCTGCATTGCTTGTCACTTCACATACACAGTTCCTCACATATACTCACACATCTCTACTGCTGCTATTGCTAGCAGTTTTAATTAGGGACTGTCTAGCCAAGCACAACTTGCCTGCCTTGCACCCCCTGTTCTCCTCCTCTGGGGTTGACTGGAGCTCAGTACTGCCAAACTGTTGATTGAAAACTTCTTGAATGAATGAACTTATCAAATACTTCCATGACTTCCTGGTAGTCCTGGAAATGTAGTCCTAGAAATGTAGTCCTATGATGCCTGGTACAGTGCTCCTGGCCCTTGTAAGCCTGGACTAGACTGACCAGTCTGAGTGTAATTAACATTGCCCCTGCAGAAACAGGGCAACTGAGAGGTGGTGGCTGTGTGGATGAGTCTCCTGAGGACTGAACATTGTGCATCCACCTGGGTTTAGAAGCACCAATTGTAGTGGTCAGGGTTTTCCAAAGAAACAGGGTCAATAGTATATGTATAGACATATAGAAAGATATTTATTTTGAAGAATGGGCTCACACAACTATGGAGGCTGAGGAGTCTCAGGACCTGCCATCAGTAAGCTGGAGGCCCAGGAAAGCTGGTGGTGTAATTCCAGTTCAAGCCCAAAGGCCCCAGAAACAGGAGCATCAATGTACCCCAGATGGGAGAAGATGGATGTCCCAGCTGCAGCAAAAGGCAAATTCACCCTTCTTCTGCCTTTTTGTGCTATTTGGGCACTCAGTGAATTTGATGATGCTGGCCCACATTGATGAGGGTAAATCTTCTTTAATAAATCTACTGATTCATATGGTAATCTCTTTCAGAAATACCCTCACAGACACACCCCGAAATCGTATTTTGCCAGCTGTCTGGGCATTCCTTAGCCCAGTCAAGATGACGTATAAAACGGACCATTCCATTTCATCAGTGTGAAGTGAGAGTAATCTTTGCGTGGCATTGCTGTGTTGTTACAAATGCCTATGTGAGCTGAAGGGAGTGGTTTGTTACTCTGAGTTTTAAAAAGTAAACCTAGGTTAAAAACATATAAAAACATTATGATATTTTTGGTTACTATAGCCTTGTAGTATAGTTTGAAGTCAGGTAGCGTGATGCCTCCAGCTTTGTTCTTTTGGCTTAGGATTGACTTGGCGATGCAGGCTCTTTTTTGGTTCCATATGAACTTTAAAGTAGTTTTTTCCAAATCCGTGAAGAAAGTCATTGGTAGCTTGATGGGGATGCATTGAATCTATAAATTACCGTGGGCAGTATGGCCATTTTCACCATATTGATTCTTTCTATCCATGAGCATGGAATGTTCTTCCATTTCTTTGTATCCTCTTTAATTTCATTGAGCAGTGGTTTGTAGTTCTCCTTGAAGAGGTCCTTCATGTCCCTTGTAAGGTGGATTCCTAGGTATTTTATTCTCTTTGAAGCAATTGTGAATGGGAGTTCACTCATGATTTGGCTCTCTGTTTGTCTGTTATTGGTGTATAAGAATGCTTGTGATTTTTGCACATTGATTTTGTATCCTGAGACTTTGCTGAAGTTGCTTATCAGCTTAAGGAGATTTTGGGCTGAGACAATGGGGTTTTCTAGATATACAATCATGTCGTCTGCAAACAGGGACAATTTGACTTCCTCTTTTCCTAATTGAATACCATTTATTTCCTTCTCCTGCCTAATTGCCCTGGCCAGAACTTCCAACACTGTGTTGAATAGGAGTGGTGAGAGAGGGCATCCCTGTCTTGTGCCAGCTTTCAAAGGGAATGCTTCCAGTTTTTGCCCAATCAGTATGATATTGGCTGTGGGTTTGTCATAGATAGCTCTTATTATTTTGAGATACATCCCATCAATACCTAATTTATTGAGAGTTTTTAGCATGAAGGGTTGTTGAATTTTGTCAAAGGCCTTTTCTGCATCTATTGAGATAATCATGTGGTTTTTGTCTTTGGTTCTGTTTATATGCTGGATTACATTTATTGATTTGCGTATATTGAACCAGCCTTGTATCCCAGGGATGAAGCCCACTTGATCGTGGTGGATAAGCTTTTTGATGTGCTGCTAGATTTGGTTTGCCAGTATTTTATTGAGGATTTTTGCATCAACATTCATCAAGGATATTGGTCTAAAATTCTCTTTTTTGGTTGTGTCTCATCTTATGATATTTGCAGTATGCATTTGGTTTTTGAATTTGTAATTTGTTTTGACTTTGTTTCTCAGTCTAAAACCTCAGAATAGAAGAGCAATATGAGTTTAATGATATCTAAATCAGCTGTTTTATATTGTCAGTGAATTAATAGTAAAAGGAGGATAAAGAAAACAAGTCTGTTGCCTATTTCTCATGTTGAATTTGCAGAAGTTTTTAAATTTCTAGTTTTAGGTTTTGCACATAACAATAAAAAATGGTTAGATAAGCTTTTGTTTGTTAATGTAATATTGTTTTTATAGGATACAAATAGTAAAATCAAGGAAGCTATGTTATTTTGATAAAATTGAGATACTTAAATATCTGGATTTGGTGACAGCAACAGTAAACTGACTGATTTGTTAAATAAAACCTTTTGCCTTTAGTAGAGCTATAAAGTTAGTCATAATGGTTTAAAAAGATATCACTTACACAGCTTAAATTCATCTTGATTTAACCAAAAATATTCTTCTTGACCTAAGACTCTATTGAAAATATCTATCGGATTAGACATTTCAATGAGAACTAGTCTCTCTGTCTTATAGTAGCTTGAAGTCCTGACTTGTCTTTTTTCAGCATAGTGACAGAATTAATTCCTTTTATTGCATAAGAATTTAATTAATTTCTAAAAGCTCTGTGGGCTTAAAATTATTTTGTTGTCAATTTTTAATATAAAATCTTAGATGGTATCACTGAGATGTAGAATCAAAGAATGTATGTTGATAAAAATTAAAACTAAATTGTTTACTTATTTTGCCTATAGTCTTTGAGAAATTCATATATACTCTTTTAAACACTAGATGGCACTAGAAATGTATCATAATAAATTGTTTCATCAGGAGGAATTATTAATTTTATGACCTCCTAAGATGGTGTGTTCTTTGGTTATATATTTTTGAACATTTAAAATAATTTAACTATTTCCACTAGTACCTTTAATTACTGAAATAAGTAATGAGGTTTCCAAACTGTAGAAATACATAATTCATAATTAAAATTTTTCAAAGTATTATTTTAGTGGTCCATAGATATTGCCACACCTCAGGTTTCCTCATCTTATGAGATTGCTTCCCTTTAAGTTCATCAAAAAGAAGACACATGCTCTACAAATAGAAATAATGAGTAGGTTCCTGAATTGTTTACTAACCTGATTACCCATGAGGCATGAATCATCTGAACACACTGGAAAAAGATTTAAATTCTTGACACATATTACTTCCTTCAAGAAAGATAGCATAAAACGAATGATATGCCACTATATGAGGACATTAATGACAAATTTTTCATCAATTTAAGAAATATTTACAATTAGTCACTGAGTAAGATAATTGGAAATGCCCTGAAATCTCGCAATATAAACACTTTCCCAAATTTGACAGTATTCCTAAAAATTTACCATCATCAACAATGTTTTGTGAAGCCGAAAGACACTTTTATATACTATCATTAAAACATGTTGGTCAGCTGTGCTAGAGGAAAGGCGGCTGAGTTATAGTCTTTGTCATGTGGCAATATGATCGAAGAGTGTAGCCAGTCAATGGGGTATTTCAGATAGTAACATAATCCAAGCGTTAAGATCGATTCTGGATCTTGTGATTTTTGTAGCGTTTGTCTACTTTTAAAACTTTTTGATTTGTTGTAACTTCTTTTCTCATTCTGAATACATGTTTACTTTTATATGTAATTTTATATATATTCTTTTTCTTCAGTAGGGCTTAAAACACTGTGTGAGCTTCTACCTGCCCAAACCTGGATTCATTCTGTTCCAATGCCTTTTAAGTCCCAATAATGTCTTGCTCCCATTTAACTCTCTGGCCTTATCTACATTCAGCATATTACTTTATATTTTTATAAAAAGTAATTATTCATTTTTGTTCACATAGCTTTATTTTTTTACCACCGGGATTTTATGTATGTTGTACTCTTTGTTTTTTATGTCCTTTCCCTTGGGATTGTCTTTTAAATTTGTATTTATCCAAGTCTATGAGACATGTCTCATATATGAGGTGCAAAAAGTAATTACGGTTCTTGCTATTACTTTCAATGGCAAAAAACACAGTTACTTTCATAGTAACCTAATGTTATTTCCTTCAGGAAAGGGGCTGTGATCTCTCTCCTAAACTTCCACATTTCCTCAAGCCAGCTAAGAGTAATTTCTCCCTCATCTAGAAAAACGTATTTTTATTTTCTTCTGTGACACATTTCTATGTGTATTTAACATCCTATATTTGTAAGAATGTATTATTTTTTCTACTGGGTTCTTAACTTCCTGATGAAAGGGACTGAATATTACCCATCTTTGGGTTTCTTACAGTACCCAGCACAGCTCCTTATGCATCATTGGTAACCCATAAAGATGTTTAAGATATATTAATGAATATATGAAAGCTGTTTGATCTGAGGGTCACAGCATATATTTTTCTCTGCCTGTTCATTTGAACTCTTAATTTTTCAGACTTCGGTACATGGTTATATTTAAAATAAAATATGCAACAACCAGAGACTTTAGGAGACAAAAAAGAGGATGTTTTCTGCATTTACAAAAAAAATTGTGCTTCTATCTCAGTATAGACAACATCACGGCACCATAGTTTCCACTTCTGGCATATTTTTAGTCGCTTAGGAGTTGACAAACTGCAGCCTATGGGCTCAGTCTAGTCAGTTGCCTGTTTTTGTAAATTAATTTTATTGAAACACAGTCACATCCATCATTCTAATAATGTCTATGGCTGCTTTCAAGCTATAATGGCAGTGTCAAATAGTTGCAACAAAGACTGTGTAAGGAATCAAGATGTAAACCCTGAAATAATTTAATAGATTTTACTTAGGACTTTTGCAAAGGGGTAGGTTGCATCATCTTCTCTAAAATGGGCAATTTATTAATTGCCAAACCATTAGTACAGTAACAAGACATACTATTTCCTATAAAGTGTTAATAAACTAGCATGTTGTAAATTTATGTATATTTTTAAATGCAATGCAAAGAAAACAGACCTCAGATTAAAATACATATGATGAAAGAATTACATTCCTCTTATGTGACTTAATAATTTAAATACTATGAACATCCAGTTGAGAAATTCAACCAGCTTTCTTAGGCCTTATTTTTTATGACCTACTTAAAGCTTTTATCACTGTTGAGCTTGACCTTCTTAAACTATTCTCTTGACTTCTTTGATACTGCAGTGTTTCCATTTCTACCTACCTCCTAGATGGGCCTTACCTATGTCCCATTTGTCCTTTCCTTCTTTCCTCCTAAAAATTTCAGCATATCACAAGGGTTGGTCTTACCTTTTTCTAACTCATTATTCTGATTCCTGAAAAGATCTTTTTTTCATGCTTTCAGTTTGTATCCCATTGTAAACAATGTTCAACTTATCTCTAGTATACATCTTTCCTTGGTTTCAGCTCTACAACTTTAAATGCCTGTTGGAATGAAACAACATTTTTTTTTTTTGTCCTCAAAAATCCCTGGTAACTAAGTTATCTTGGTCCTGTTTCTGACTTTTTGTTTCATACCTTCTCATCATTTTCATAGTAAAACAAAGTTTTCCCCTTCTATTCTAATCATATTGCCAGAGTCTTGGTTCCAAATCTGTATTGCTTCACATTTGCACAAGCTGAGTGTTTTAACTAGTTTCCTGACTCTTCTTCCCTCTAATTCATTTTACAAAGTATGTTAAATTTACTTATTTGGTCTTTGAAAGAAAATATCCTAGAACATACATTATTAGTTTTATTTGTAATTTAACCAACTAACAATTGAGTTTGATTATTTATTAGTTACTAAATATTTAATTGAATAGTCATGGCTTGCCAGGCACTATTCTAGGCTTTGGAAATGTAGTAATAAACAAAACAGAGATTTCTGTACTCATGGAGTTTGCATTCTAGTTTGAGGAATAGATGATAAGGTAAAGGAGCAGAATTATAGTATTGAATTGTATGTGCTAAAGATAAGAATTAAGAGGGTAGGAAGATATAAAATGTTGAAGGAAGACTCCATTGAATAGATGACTAAAGACATGATGAAAGCATAAGAAACTGCCATGTAGATACATGACAGGAGAGCATTCTAGGCAGACAATACAGCAAGAAGCAGTTAAAAGATGCCTAACATATTTAAGGAACAGCAGAGAGGGCAGTGTGACTGTTCAGTGTGACTGAAGCAGAATGAAGAAAACTGAGACAGATAAAAAGGTTAAAGAAATGGCAGGGGTCCAGATCTCAGATCTCAGAGGGTCATGAGATGTTGATGCACAGGAGAGTTTTATGCAGAGAAGGGACATAATCAAAGTTAGATTTTAGGAGATTTGCTTTGGATGCTGTGTTGAGAACTAAGGGGAGAAAGGGTAGAAACAGGAAGGCCTGTTTGAAGACCTCTGCAATAGTCCTGATGTTGAATTAGGGTCCTAGGGAAGTAGACTCTGAGACTGAGATTAATGTAAGTGTAAGTTAGATCTTGGAATTGATTCCCATGGCAGGAAAGGGAAGAAAGCAGAATCAGGTGATGGGAGAAGTTGGGTTGAGATATAACGTCCTAAAAGTTCTCAGCCACCCTAGTGGGAGTGCTAAAGCTGGAATGGCAAGCAGACTGCACTAGGTTAGAAGATTTGTCCTTTATCCCCCAATGTGGACTAGTCATTGGATGTGGGATGTCCCAGGAAGATAATGTAACCTTGGATGAAATAGGCTTTTTCAATGGAGGCAATTTCCAAAGAGGGATAGCCACTGAGTTGCTGCCTACCAGAAGTAGAGTACTCCCTGAGCAGGGGAAGTTAGTCTTCCAGGCATAAAGGGGTATCTGTGTCATACATCACAGCATCCTATACACCAGGAAAGAGGTAATGATAGTTTGGACCAGGGTATTGGCAGTGGGAATGATGAGAAGCTATCAATCTATGGACATGTTTTGAAGGTAGCACCTGTAGGACCAAATTATAATGTTCTGATGGATTGCATTTGGGACATGAGAGAAGTAGAGGGGGCAAAATTGACACCGTAGCTTTGGCTTCAGCAACTGATAAACGGATATTTCATTAACTGAGATGAGGAAAACTGTGGAAGGAACTTGTATTAGTCTGTTCTTACACTGCTGTTAAAGACATACCTGAGACAGGGTAATTTATTAAATAAAAAAAAGAGGTTTAATGAATTCACAGTTCCATGTGGCTGGGGAGGCCTCACAATCATGGTGGAAGGCAAAAGGCACATCTTACATGGCAGCAGGCAAGAAAGAGGATGAGAGCCAAGCAAAAGGAGTTTCCCTTTATAAAGCCATCAGATCTCATGAGACTTATTCACTACCACGATAACAGTATGGGGGAAACTGCCCCCTATGATTCATTTATTGCCCACTAGGTCCCTCCCACAACACATGGGAATTAGGAAAGCTACAATTAAAAATGAGATTTGGGTGGAGACACAGAGCCAAACCATACCATTCCACCCCTGGCTCCTCCCAAATGTCATGTCCTCACATTTCAAAAGCGATCATGCCTTCCCAACAGTCCCTCAAGTCTTAATTTATTTCAGCATTAACTCAAAAGTCCACAGTCCAAAGTCTCATCTGAGACAGGCAAGTTCCTTCTGCCTATGAGCCTGTAAAATCAAAAGCAAGTTAGTTACTTTCTAGATACAATGGGGGTACAGGCATTGGGTAAATACACCTGTTCCAGAAGGAAGAAATTGGCCAAAATAAGGGGGCTAAAGGCCCCATGCAAGTCCAAATTCAGGGGGGCAGTCAAACCTTAACGCTCCAAAATGATATCATTTGACTCCATGTCTCACATCCAGGTCATGCTGATGCAAAAGGTGGGCACCCACAGCCTTGGGCAGTTCTGCTCCTGTGGCTTTGTGGGGTATGGCCCAACTCCTAGCTGGTTTCACGAGATGGCATTGATTGAGGATTTTCCAGGCACAAAGTGCAAGCTCTCAGTGGATCTGACATTCTGGGTCTGGAGGACGGTGGCCCTCTTCTCACAGCTCCACTAGGCAGTGCCCCAGTGAGGACTCTGTGTGGGGGTTTCAACTCCACATTTCCCTTCCACATTGCCCTAGCAGGGGTTCTCCATGAGGTCTCTGCCCCTATAGCAAATTTCTGCCTGTACATCCATTCTTTTCCATACATCTGCTGAAATCTAGGTGGAGGTTCCCAAAGTTTAATTCTTAATTTCTGTGCACCCACAGGCTCAACACCACATGGAAGCTGCCAAGGCTTGGGGCTTGCACCCTGTGAAGCCACAGCTCAAGCTGTACCTCGGGCCCTTTCAGCCACAGCTAGAGTGGCTGGGATGCAGGGAACCAAGTCCCTAGGCTGCACGGAGCAGAGGATCCCTGGCCGATCCCTGGCCCCGGCCCACAAAACCACTTTTCCCTTCTAAGCCTCCAGGCCTGTGATGGGAGGGGCTGCCACAGAGATCTCTGACATGCCCTGGAGACATTTTCCCCATTGTCTCAGCAATTAACATATGGCTCCTCATTACTTATGCAAATTTCTGTAACCAGCTTGAATTTCTCCCAGAAAATGGGTTTTTCTTTTCTATCACATTGTCAGGCTGCAAATTGTCCAAAATTTTATTCTGTTTCCCTTTTAAAACTGAATGCTTTTAACAGCACTCAACTCACATCTTGAATGCTTTGCTGCTTAGAAATTTCTTCTGCCAGATACCCTAAATCATCTCCCTCAAGTTCAAAGTTCCACACATCTCTAGGGCAGGGGCAAAATGTTGCCAGTCTCTTTGCTAAAATATAACAAGAGTCACCTTTACTGCAGTTCCCAACAAGTTCCTCATCTCCATCTGAGACCACCTCAGCCTAGATTTCATTGTCCATATCATTATCAGCATTTTGGTCAAAGCCATTCAACAAGTCTCTAGGAAGTTCCAAACTTTCCCACATTTTCCTGCTTCTTCCGAGCCCTCCCAACTGATCCAACCTCTGCTTATTACCCAGCTCCAAAGTTGCTTCCACATTTTCAGGTATCTTTACAGCAGCACCCTACTCTACCAGTACCAATTTACTGTATTAGTCTGTTCTCACACTGCTGATAAAGACATACCTGAGACTGGGTAATTTATACATACAAAAAAATTTTATTGGACTCACAGTTCCATGTGGCTGGGGAGGCCTCACAATTGTGATGGAAAGCAAAAGGCATGTCTTACATGGCAGCAGGCAAGAGAGAAAATGTGAGCCAGGCAAAAGGGGTTTCCCCTTATAAAGCCATCAGATCTCATGAGACTTATTCACTACCACGAGAACAGTATGGGGGAAACCACCCCCGTGATTCAATTATCTCCCACCAGGTTCCTCCCACAACACATGGGAATTATGGGAGCTAAAATTAAAAATGAGATTTGGGTGGGGCCACAGCCAAACCATATCAGAACTTGTCTGGGGATGGATATTAAACACTAAGTTCTGGATGTATTTAGTTGCAAATATCTATAGATAGTGAAATAGATATACTTTTTTGGAATTTAGTGAGATGTCCAGGCAGGAGATATAAATATGAGTCACCAGTTATGAGACTGGTTAAATCATCCAGGTTGATAGTGTAAGTTGACAAGAAAAAATTTCAGTGATTGAGCAGTGCGGCACTCTGACATTTAGAATGTGGAAATGGAGATATTAATTAGCAAATAAGACTGAGAAGGAATATTTAGAAAGGCAAGAAGAAAATTAGTTGAATGTGATGTTCTTAAAGCTAAATGAAAAAAAAATTTCAATAGGAATGAGGGGTAAAGATTTTAAATGTTGCTGACGGACCAAGTAAGTTGAAGACATAAATTACTGCTGGATTTAGCTAAACAGAAGATCTGGTGACTTTGACCAGAACAATTTTGGTGGAATGTTGAGGGTTAAAACATGTTTTGAGTGAAATAAAGAGACAATAGTGGAAAGAGCAAGTATGTATAACTTTTTCAAACTTTTCTCTAAAAAGAAAGATAAAGTCAAGCATTAGGTAGAGGAAAAATTAGGGACAAGAGAAGGATTTTTTAGATGTGAGAAATTATAATTTTATATACAAATGAACAGATTGAATAGAGTATGAAAGGTTGATGATATAAGAAAGAAATGAGTGACTTGCTGATGTTGAAGTAGAAGCCAAATAATGATATTTTAATAAATAATATTTGATATCTGATAATGATGGATTCTGATATAAACTAATGTTTTAATTCAATATAGATGTCGTATTTTATTCAATGGAACATGAAATATTGCCAGAAGAAACCTCACATGTAGATCGCTATCTTACTTTGGCATTCTCTGAGAGCAACTCTGAACCAGGGACCTGAGTGTTGGTATTTTAACTGGAAGGTGATCCCATAAAATACAAGTGAAGGCCGTAGGGCAGGGAAAACAGAGAAGAATAAAAGCTGGGAAGTATGTGATAAAAAGCTCTGAGCTCTATGCTATTAATCAATTTATTGCATCTTATCTCCAAATCCTTCCTTTTTTAAAACTGCTTTGCAATTAGGGATCTGGATACATTATGTATTTTTCATTTGCAGCAAGCGTGATATTAAGCTTTGCATAGAGGGTGCTGGAGGGACCATGCAGAAAAACAGAGATTCCCTTCCTGGATCTAGTGTGCTCCTCTCATTAGCTTCTTGCAGCATGCTCATTGCTTATTGTCAGTGCCTGGTGGCCAGCAGTCCACGGTGCCTTCTACTGGTACAACCCTCAAGTGGCTTCACAATTTCTCTGCTGTCAGAGAAGGGAGTGCCACTAGTGGACTTCGTTTCCATGACTGTTTTTCCCCAGGCCACCACCCGCTTCAGGTGGCTTTGTAGTAGAGTGCCTTGGCTAGGCATCTTCTGGTGGATAACTGTTGGGCAGTTCCGCAATCACCTCTGAAACATCGTTCCTTCTTCTGCATAGCTTTCTTTGGCACTCCAGAATAAGTTTTCCAATGAGTTCTGCTAGTGTGGCACCTCAGAGAAGTTATCTGCCATCCAGTGACCCAGCTGTGCCCCCTTCAGTGAGGTCTGGATGTCAGATTGGAAGAAGGTAGCCTTTTCTTTGTGTGCTCTCTCTTAGCTCCAATCCTCTGTTAATTTTTATACTGATTTTTGACTATACAAATTACTGTGTGATTTTCGTCTCCTGATTGAACCCAGACTGATACAAAGTCTCTGGGTGATTCTAATGTAGAGCCAAGGCTAAGGGTCACTGATCTTTAAGGTGAACCTGAATAAAGTTCAAACAGTTTGATAAAGTTCAACACCAGATGATGGAAACTCTCAGCAAACTAGGAATAAAAGGGAAATTTTAAAATATGATAAGAGAAATCTACAAAAGCTTTGTGGCTAATACCCTAGTCAATGCTGAAATTTCCATCAATTTTTCATTGAAATTAAGAAAGCACAAAGATATTCACTATCAAAATTTCTATTCAACACTATAATAAAGTTATTAGTATCTTTATTTAAAAAGTCAATAAAAGATATTCTTATTGAAAAACAATAAATAAAATCATTACATTGTAGAGGATACAGTTGTGTAAATAGAAAATCTTAGACAATCCACACATTGATTATTAAGTAAATTTACCAAGTTGCTGAATTCAAAGTCAACATACAAAAACTAATTTGATTTCTATATATTTTGACTTTTATATATTTATTCGCATTTATACACATGTGTTAAATAGGACACACACCAGCAAATACCTGGCAATAAATCTAAAGAAAGATGTACAGATGTATACATTAAGAATAATAAAGTATTATGAAGACCTGCATAAATGGGGAAATATTCATATTCATCGACTCAAAGACTCAATATTTTTCAATTATGTGTAGGTAGAACACAATTTAATTTAAGTGGGTTTTATTTTTAAAGAATTGATATGCTACTTTAAAATTCCATATGAAAATGACTAGAGAAGCTTAGGTAACTTTCATGAATAACAAAAGCATAGGACATACACTACCAAATATCAAGACAAATTATAAACCTGGAATATTTAGGGCAATGTGGTATCACTGCAAGGATAGACAAATAGACCAATGGAGCAGAATACAAAGCCTAGAAATAGACCTGCACATTTATAGTCACTTGATTCAAAACAAAGTTGCAACCACAAATTAGTAGGAGAAGAATGGTCTCTTCATAAATTGGCAGTAAATCAATTAGATATAAGGTTGGAAAAAGTGATCCCTAATTTCTTCCTTATACCACACCAAAAAATAAATTCAAAATGTATCATAAACCTAAATGTTAAAAGAAAAACAATGAAGCTATGGAAGAAAACGTAAGAGAATATCTTATGATATTGGGGCAGACAAGGTTTCATAAACAGGATGAAAAAGGCACTAATTGTGAAAGGAAAAGTAGATAAAATTGGACTTTATTTAAATTAAGAACTTCTGTTAATCAAAAGATAATATGAAAAGAGCAAAAAGGCAATGCAAGCCACAGACTGGGGAAAGATATTTGTTATATATATATTTTACAAATATCTTTTATATGGAAAAGATATTTGTAATTTATATGTTATATAACTATTTCTATAAATATTATATATAAATATTCATATATTATATATAAATATTTCAGAGAAATATAACAAAATCTTATAAGCCAATTAGATAAAAACACAAAACACAATAAAAAATGAAGCAAAAACTTCACAGAATACATCCAAATTACCAATATGCATATGGAAAGGTACCTATCACTAGTCATCAGAAAAGTGCTAAAAAAAAATTATGGAGACCCCACAACATATCTGCCAGAATGGCTAAAATTGAAAAGACTTAGGGACAATAATAAGTGTTGGGGAGGATGTAGAGCATGTTTGCTGATTAGAGGGTAAATTGATACGATAGCTTGAAGAACTATTTGGCAGTATTTTCTAAAAGATTAGATAGATAGACAGACAGATAGACAGATGATAGATACTGCCAGACAGTTTTCGAAAGAACTAATTTATATTTGTGTGTGTTTATATATATATATGTATATATGAAATCTACCTACCTATCAATATCTATCTCCAATAAGTGAACAATTCCACTCCTGAGTATGTATCCACAGTTATTTAAAACAGTGTTATTCATAACTGTTTCAATCTGGAAACTACCCAAATATCTTCAGTAGCAGAATGGGTTAATACATTTTGGTATATTCATACAGTGATGTATTTTTTTTGTTTGTTTTGTTTTGAGCCAGGGTCTCACTGTGTCACTCAGGTTGGAGTGCAGCATGATACGCGCTCACTGCAACCTCCACCTTCCAGGCTCAAGCGATCCTCACCTCAGCCTCCCCAGTAGCTGGGACCATAGGTGCCTGCCTCTATGCCCAGCTAATTTTTTGTAGTTTTGGTAGAGACACGGTTTTGCACGTTGCCCAGGCTGGTCTCGAACACCTGAGCTCAGGCAATCCACCTACCTCGGCCTCCCAAAGTGCTGGGATTACAGGTGCGAGCCACTGCGCCTGGCCTACAATGTTGTATTAAATAGCAAGAAAGAGAATCAAACACAGCCCTTGGCAACAACCTAAATAATCACAGACAATATTGAGCAAAAGAAGGCTGACACAAAAGAACATACACTGTGATTCCATTTACATAAAGTTCAACAACAGACAGAACTAATTAATGCTGATTGGGATCAGAGTAGTTATTTATGCGGAGGGATGAGGTAGAGAAGTAACAACTAGGTGGGTACACGAAGCAGCCTGTTGTTTGCTAGAAACGTCTATCTATCTTGATTTAGGTGTCTATTAAACAGGTGCAGTAGGTGTAAAAACCTTTTGAGCTATACACTATAGATTTGTATAGTTTATGTAAGTTATACTTCAACTAAAAATATAAAAACGGCCATTTGCTGAGAGTGAGAAAGGATTAGCTAGGTAGAAGGTTTTGAGACTCTTGCAGTGTATTTGAAATAAGTTACTGTGGAGAATGAGAGAATAAGCTAGTTAAAACAAAGAAGAGTCATTGAGAGCTCAGTGCAATTGAAGATAATGGAAATGGATTTTTACAGTAGTTCTTTCAGTTGCTGTGGTATAAGTCTAGAGAAGTTACATAGTTAAATCTTTCATAGATTTAGCGGAAAACGGTACAAAGTGGATTTCAGATATTTGCAAAAGAAGAGTTAGAATTCTGCACCTTGGAATTCCACTTGAATAAGAAAGATAAGAAAGGCAATGAAGACAGGAAAAGAATGACAGGCAAGGAGGATGTAGAGAAGCCAAGAAACTGATGATTTATGTAGTCAACAAAAAAGTGCCAGGTGAATATCAGAGTGAGGGGGCTGAAGACAGAGATCTGTAGTCAGAGAGGGGTCTGACTAAAATGACATTTCAGATATGCAACAGATTTAGTTATTGATATCATCAGAGGTCATTTTCCCTGGGGATCAGCATCTGAGAAACAGATCAGAATACAGGAAATATACCAGGGAGAGCTCTGGGAATTAACAATCATGGGAGAGTGAAGGAAGTATGATTGGACAGAGAGAGAAGTTGAACTGTGAAGGAATCAAAACAAAAGCCTCAGTTGATTCTACAAGGAGCTTTGGGGTTAGGATTTTCCTTCAATATTGAGGCAAGAGGGCTGTGCTCTTATGCCCCCACATAGGGCAGTCATGAAGTGTGGGCTTTGGTGATGGGAAGGTGGTGTGACCTTGGGTTAGGACATCCAAGGAGATGTCCCAGGGGAGGTCTTAGTAGAAAGCGGTCAGCCACCAATGCTCTCAGGAGCTGGAGGAATAAATGTCTCTGTCCTAAAAAAAGAAATCTGGATGGTGAACCACAGCGTTCAGTGCAGATATATTCCAGAATTTACCATGGGCTAGACAGCTAAAGAGACATGTGGGGAAGGCCCCTAAAAATGAGGCAATCAGGGAACCATAAGGCCAGACAGTTGGATTGACTGCTCACATGGAAAAGCTATCAAAGATGAGGTCAGGAAGAAGGGAAAGTCAGGAGAGAGACTGGGAGCTGGGTGCCAGGTCTCCTATTGGTCTTTTGCCTTTTAGGGGATGTTGATTATTCTCCTACATCACTTTCACCTCAGGCTGGGATGTGGTTAAAGGCTCTTCTCATTTTCCAGGAAGTGTAGCTTCACAGACCTAAACTTCACCAACCTCAACTCCAGTTTTACACTAATCTGTTAGGCTCATATCAGCTCTTCCTCATCACTGATCATCCAGCTCAATTACTGGCCTCTGGTTCATAATCTCCCTGAACACAGAGTCCTCAGGTCATCTTCAGTAATTTAAACTCCCATGTGAGTACCCATCAAATAACCTGGCACTTAGTTTTTTGATTACCTCACCTCCAATGACTTCCCTCTCCACCCCATTCTACTTCAACTACCTACACTCTCATGGCCAGGTAAATGCAAGAATGAGATGAGCATTCAATTAAAACAATTGATGGGGTATTACGGACTTATCTGAGATTATATACTGTGAATTTTATTGGCACAAATTGGCAAGACCTGGTTTTTTTTTTTTAATTTTTTTTTTTATTATACTCTAAGTTTTAGGGTACATGTGCACATTGTGCAGGTTAGTTACATATGTATATATGTGCCATGCTGGTGTGCTGCACCCACTAACGTGTCATCTAGCATTAGGTATATCTCCCAATGCTATCCCTCCCCCCTCCCCCGACCCCACCACAGTCCCCAGAGTGTGATATTCCCCTTCCTGTGTCCATGTGATCTCATTGTTCAATTCCCACCTATGAGTGAGAATATGCGGTGTTTGGTTTTTTGTTCTTGCGATAGTTTACTGAGAATGATGGTTTCCAATTTCATCCATGTCCCTACAAAGGACATGAACTCATCATTTTTTATGGCTGCATAGTATTCCATGGTGTATATGTGCCACATTTTCTTAATCCAGTCTATCATTGTTGGACATGTGGGTTGGTTCCAAGTCTTTGCTATTGTGAATAGTGCCGCAATAAACATACATGTGCATGTGTCTTTATAGCAGAATCAATGTACAAAAATCACAAGCATTCTTATACACCAACAACAGACAAACAGAGAGCCAAATCATGAGTGAACTCCCATTCACAATTGCTTCAAAGAGAATAAAATACCTAGGAATCCAACTTACAAGGGATGTGAAGGACCTCTTCAAGGAGAACTACAAACCACTGCTCAAGGAAATAAAAGAGGACACAAACAAATGGAAGAACATTCCATGCTCATGGGTAGGAAGAATCAATATCGTGAAAATGGCCATACTGCCCAAGGTAATTTACAGATTCAATGCCATCCCCATCAAGCTACCAATGACTTTCTTCACAGAATTGGAAAAAACTACTTTAAAGTTCATATGGAACCAAAAAAGAGCCCGCATCGCCAAGTCAATCCTAAGCCAAAAGAACAAAGCTGGAGGCATCACACTACCTGACTTCAAACTATACTACAAGGCTACAGTAACCAAAACAGCATGGTACTGGTACCAAAACAGAGATATAGATCAATGGAACAGAACAGAGCCCTCAGAAATAATGCCGCATATCTACAACTATCTGATCTTTGACAAACCTGAGAAAAACAAGCAATGGGGAAAGGATTCCCTATTTAATAAATGGTGCTGGGAAAACTGGCTAGCCATATGTAGAAAGCTGAAACTGGATCCCTTCCTTACACCTTATACAAAAATCAATTCAAGATGGATTAAAGATTTAAACGTTAGACCTAAAACCATAAAAACCCTAGAAGAAAACCTAGGCATTACCATTCAGGACATAGGCGTGGGCAAGGACTTCATGTCCAAAACACCAAAAGCAATGGCAACAAAAGCCAAAATTGACAAATGGGATCTAATTAAACTCAAGAGCTTCTGCACAGCAAAAGAAACTACCATCAGAGTGAACAGGCAACCTACAACATGGGAGAAAATTTTCACAACCTACTCATCTGACAAAGGGCTAATATCCAGAATCTACAATGAACTCAAACAAATTTACAAGAAAAAAACAAACAACCCCATCAAAAAGTGGGCGAAGGACATGAACAGACACTTCTCAAAAGAAGACATTTATGCAGCCAAAAAACACATGAAGAAATGCTCATCATCACTGGCCATCAGAGAAATGCAAATCAAAACCACTATGAGATATCATCTCACACCAGTTAGAATGGCAATCATTAAAAAGTCAGGAAACAACAGGTGCTGGAGAGGATGTGGAGAAATAGGAACACTTTTACACTGTTGGTGGGACTGTAAACTAGTTCAACCATTGTGGAAGTCAGTGTGGCGATTCCTCAGGGATCTAGAACTAGAAATACCATTTGACCCAGCCATCCCATTACTGGGTATATACCCAAAGGACTATAAATCATGCTGCTATAAAGACACATGTTTTTCTTAAAACCTTCAGCAGCATTTGAGATAAAGAAGTACAAAAAAGGCATTGCTCCCTGAGAGTAAGTGGGAGCTAGGCATGCTAAATAATTCAAGGTGCTGGGAATATTCTGGAAACCAATGATCTAAAAAATTAAGAGAGACCAACAGGAATTGATAGACTGGAAGAAAATAAAAAGATGAGTAGACCAGACATCTCTTTGAGGTCAAAGGCTTGGACGTGGGCTTGGGGTGTGAGAGGACAGCAATAACAAGAGAGTGTGGTCAGAGAGTGAACAAATGAAGTCTGATGTTTCTGAGATGGAGCAGAGGCTGGTCATGACTATATCTAGGAGGTAGCCTGAGAATAGAGTGAGTGGAAATGGTGTGACTACCTTGCTCTGTGTGGGGCTATATCTTCTGTTTGGATGTGTAGAAAGGGGTCTGATTGCTGTCAGGACTTTCCCAAGGCTTGAGGAGAAGAATGTGTGCAGTTTAGTGGTGAGTGGTCTCTACCCCAAGGAGACAGGTAACTGATCTTCAAAGCTAATTCCTCTTAATATTTTAAGCAGTGAATTAGCAAAAAAGCTCTTAAATTGATTACTCTTTCCTTCTACAACTCTAGAAAAATTTACAGAACTTCAACTTGGTAATTATTTATATGCATTCTTGAGCTGTTTTGAAATTGTTTCTTGTAATTTAATTTTTATCCCCCTGGAGACAGTATACTCCTACCTGGCAGGAAGTTCTAATCTTATCCTCAGAGATGACTGTTTAAATTATCTGGTATCTTCCATGATTATAAGCCTGAGGGAGGAAATGGAATAGGGGCACAAGAAATATGGTATTTTTTTGGTGATTCCAATTTTATGTTTCTATAACTTCTGCACGTAGTTTGTATAATTGTATAATTGTTGGAGTTGATTTTAACCTCTACGAAACTATTGACGTAATAGGGTCTTCTGGGCAAGCTTCATTCTGTCATGAAGTTAGGAAGTGATTGGATTGATCGAAAAACCTTTGTTTTCACAGCACCTCTGCCAATCCATAGCTAACACTTTCATCGAATTTACTTTCTCCAAGAAAGCATCACTGATAACATTCACCTAATGCTGACTGACCCTTTGCCCTGGTCATATCTGTACTTGTATAAACACTTCCCACAAAAATCACACCCTTTTATTTCTATACATAAATGTATTTTTATATGTTTTCTTCTTTGAGCTATAGATTGTAAAGATGTAGCTTGATTCTCGTCTTAAACTTTGGTATCAATAATTTATGTCAGAGCTTAATGCAACATGAAAGGTAATGTAATTATCTATTTTCTTATTTTATAAATATGGAACATGACACAAAGAGTAAGAAAATGATTCAAATACTGTATTAGTCTGTTTTCATGCTACTAATAAAGACATACCTGAGACTGGGTAATTTATAATGTAAAGAGGTTTAATTGACTCACAGTTCAGCATGGCTGGGGAGGCCTCAGAAAACTTACAATCATGCTGGAAGGGAAGGCAAACACATCCTTCTTCACATGGTGGCAGCAAGGAGAAGTGGCAAGCAAAAGGGGGAAAGCCCCTTATAAAACCATCAGATCTCAGGAGAACTCACTATCACGAGAACAGCATGAGGGTAACCATCCCCATGATTCAACTACCTCCTACAAGGTCCCTCCCATGACACGTGGGGATTATGGGAACTGCAATTCAACATAAGATTTGGGTGGGGACACAGCTAAACCATATCACTTACCTATGATCACACAGCTTGTTAATGAGTGATCTTATTTTTCCAGTGTATGTTCTGTGATACCCCACAGTTATTCTGTCCCTAACCCTGTACAGAGATATACATCATAAATTTTTTTCAGCAAAGAATGAAGGGGTCAGAGTATGTTGCAGAAAGTAGCTGGGTAGAGACAAAAAGATCAGTTTAGGGAAGTGGAATCTGAAGGGATCCAGATAGAACACAGGAAATGGAGGTTAGGTTGAAGTGCAATGGACCCTTGGCAGGAGGATGGCACAGTACATTATCAGACTGGGCATCAGAGACCAAGAGGTGCTGGATCCCAAGGTAATCAGCCAAAGCATGACACGACCTTGGTAGTGCCAAACAGGGACACTGAAGGCTTCTTAAGTAAATGAAAAAGGAACCAGGGTAGTCAAAGGATCTCTACATGGATACCAAAGCCTTCAGTAGGGTAGAGTTGGGCTTAAGAAAGACGCTGAAGTCAACAGTAAAAGGGAGAGAAGGACTAGGAGACAGAAGATCATAGCAACAAGGATGGGTGGTGGATGGTAAAGTCTAATAGATGTGCACATCAAGTGATTTGAGGTTTTAAAATAAGGATGAAGGAAGGTACAAGAATGTTAATGTTGAGAAAGAAGATTACACTCAACCAGTATGCCCTAAGAAATATGAAGTATGGGAGAGAAATAGTTTTATGTATGAAGTCTTCGAATTCACGTAACAACTATCAGAGGTGATATGCCTGAAATAATTGAAACGAGAATAAAATTGTGCTTAGTTGTGAAAAACACACTTTATTCAAGATCCAGGCATAATTGTAGATCTGCTAGCTTCCACCCAGGTCTAATTGTGGTAGCACCAATTTGAAGTTATGGCTTTTACTACCTGAAGACAAACATTCCATTTAGCCTTTCAGAGTTTCATCTTTCAAGGGTGAAAAATACATGAAAACTAAGGCATTTTTCCCATTGCTTGAAAAAGGAAACGTTTCATTTTTATTTTTGATCCTACATTGGTCTAGTTCCCCTAGGACTAGTTAGTTAACACATGCTTAGGGCAAGCCTTCTGGCATGATTCTGATTGAACTAGGATAGGGCCTTCTGATTTCTTCAACTATTTTGAGAGTAATACAATACAGTACAAAAAGATAGAAAACCTTTGCATAATTGCAAATTATTTTTATCTCTCTGTCTCTTTCTTAGAAGATAGAGAAAAGGTGGCATAGAAGAAACAATCAGCGCAAAATGGGTTTTACATAATCTGTTGATTACTTTGTTCTTTCTGCTACTTAAGAATACTGGATTATTAAGAATTTGTAAGCTTTTTATAATATAAATGCCAATCATCAGAGGCATTTTATTTTTCCTTACTAAGACCATATTCACTGTCATTTGCTTAGGGAAATCTCATTAACATGCATAAGAAATAAACCACTGAAATTAGACTGTTTTTAGCCATAAGTGGTTATAATCAGCATTCATATCTATAGAACTCACTGCACACTTACCATGTGTTATTAATTCTTTATGTTCAGTGAGGCAGAAATCCCAGTCTTAAAATATATTTGTATTCCATCAGAGTTTATAGTACACAGTGGATCCTCCACAAATTGAGTTGATTAATACAGCTGTGAAAGACAAGATATATTCAAATTCATTGATAATCTCAATTGGAAAATTTGAGATCTGTTCCACGGCACATACATGGGTTAGTGGATATTTATAAGTGAAATGTCTGGTGGACAATATGAGACTATTCCAGCAAAAATTGTTTCTGAAAAGTGGGCATTTATTTATGCAATGAGAAATTTACGAATAAATGATGATGTATTTCAGAGCTTGTCTTTATAAGATTTGCACTCAACAGTTACCAAAGTTAGAGAAAAATACATATCATAAATTTTTAAAAAATCATACATAATGTTTAAGTACAATCTTCGTTACAATTTGCAGATATGAATGAGTATATGTGTGTGTGTGTGTGTGTGTGTGTGTGTGTGTGTGTATATGTACTCTCCAGAGACCCTTGGTTATCAATGTCCTCTTATTGATGAAGACAGAGTGGTTGCTGTCTTTCCTGTTGCCCATGACTCATACACAGCATCTGCATCTATCAGTACTATGTTTTCACTTTTCTGAGTGCTCCATTGTGGAAGCACATATGGTTTTCTTTGCCTTGTTTCTAGATGTAAATGCTTCCCCTTCTGATATATCAATGATTGGGGTTATTTTGAAATAACAAGAAACAAATACAAACCCATATGGCAGATATTTTTAAAAGAAGTGTTTATTACCATTTTTGGAGTGATAAGCAGCTATTCTGTCTTCACTGAAAATAAAGTAAATGTCAATAACATTAAATTTCTGAAAAGTGCACTTAGAGTAGACACAAGAATGAATTTCTCTGCAGTGAATATTGTTAGGGATCTGTTTGGGTAGATGGCGTCAGAATAGATTTTGCTTATGAAAAACCTTGGCCATCTTAATAAGATCCGAATTATCATAGACAAATGTACATTTTTCATATTTTGGAAATTAAAAAAACAAAACAAAACTGGAAGTTCCCACTAAAAAGCTCTTGTTACAGAAACCTCAGTTCTCAGGAACTAGCCCACACCTTGGTATAAGATGCCTTTTCTGAGGATCAGCATTCTCAATTATAATATATAATATGTAAGATCCTAAAAATCTCAAAAGGGTTCACAGGACTACTAAAATTAGGATCAAATCCTCTGCTTCCTATCAATATGTTAGAATTCTGAAATTCTAAGAAAAGACAGATTCTTAAAGATGAACTAGTCGCTTTTTTTTTTTTAATACAGGAGATTGCTGAGTATTAGGCTGAAGGTATCCAAGTGGAAGAGACATGATGAGACTCTCAGGCCACTATTATTTCCACTGCATCCCACTGTTGCTAATGATTCATAAAATCCAGCTCATTTCTAATACATCACTTCTAAAGAGTGTCTGTGAGTAAAAGAAAAAAGAAAAGAAAGTCTTTAGAATGAATTAGCTGCTATCTATCAATTCATAACATTTTTATGGAGTTTCCTATATTATATTACCCATTCATTTGGGTTCACAATCGCTTAGGAAAATATGGGATATGCCATTGAACACTTTCCAAAAAAGCACAACATAAATTCACATTTAAGTGTTCATTAAATAAAAATATTACATGCACATATTAAAAATACTACAGAAATTTATAAAATGGCAAATAAAAGTCATCCTCCCCATACATTTCTCCTTGGAGAAAAGAACATTGATGTGTAGAATAGTGTATGTACATAGTTCTTTGTGTGTTCTTAAAAACATACAGAAGTGAAACTAAACGTATTGCACTTTGCTTTTGTTCATTTGCTAGTTTATCTAGGCCTATTTTTATTTTTATTTATTTATTTTTTGACACGGGGGTCTCACTCTGTTGCCTAGCCTGGAGTGCAGTGGCACGATCTCAGCTCACTGCAACCTCTGTCTCCCAGATTGAAGTGATTCTTGTGTCTCAGCTGCCTGAGTAGCTGGGATTACAGGCGCATGTCATCACGCCCAGCTAATTTTTGTAGTTTTAGTAGAGACAGGGTTTCATCATGTTGGCCAAACTTGTCTCGAACTCCTGGGCTGAAGTGATCCACCTGCCTCGGCCTCTCAAAGTGCTGGGATTACAGGCATGAGCCACTGCACCCAGCCTACCTCATTGTTTTTAATAGATGCAAAATATATTCTGTTACATACCATAATTTATCTAATTTTCTATTGAAAAATATTAGGTGAATTGAAGGCTTTGGGTTTTTTTTGTAAGATAAGGCTTTTATTTTATTTTATTTATTATTATTATACTTTAAGTTTTAGGGTACATGTGCACAATGTGCAAGTTAGTTACATATGTATACATGTGCCATGCTGGTGCACTGCACCCACTAACTCGTCACCTAGCATTAGGTATATCTCCCAATGCTATCCCTCCCCCCTCCCCCTACCCCACAACAGTCCCCAGAGTGTGATGTTCCCCTTCCTGTGTCCATGTGTTCTCATTAATTTATCTTATTGTTCCAAAGATCAAAAGTCCAAAATGGGTTTCACTGGGCTTGAATGAAGATGTCAGATGTCAACATGTGTCCTCCAGAAGGAACACAGTCCTGTTGACATCTTCCTTCCTTTTCTTTGCCTTTTCTGGCTTTTAGAGGATGTCTGCATTCCTTATCTCGTGGCCCTTTCCTCCCTCTTCAAACCCAGCAGCATTGCATCCTTAAGTCATTTTGACACTCTGACCTGTGCTTCCTTTGTCACATCTCCTTTTCTGACTCTGGTCCTTCTGCTTCCCTCTTAAAAGGACCTTTGTAATTACATTGGCTAATCTAGCATAATCTACCTATTTCAAAATCTTTAAATTAATCACATCTGCAAAAGTGACTACAAAAATCCCTTTTGCTATATAAGGTAACACATTTGTATGTTTCAGGATTAAGACATACACATCTTTGGGTCATTATTCTGCCTGCCAGTCACCTGTATTTATTTGTGTTGTTTTAAACCACTCAGTTGTGATAATTTGTCATAGCACCAATAGAAAACTAACAGTGATTTTAATCTAGAATTACAATTTAAGGGTCATATCAGCTGTTGTAGGTTTCCCTTTCTTTAAATACAAATAGAAATTGTCAACCAAAGAAAGACTGAATTTGCGACCACACTACTAATAATCAATAATATACATAAAAAGCTGTTGACTTTTATGGATCAAATGTAAGAAACTTTAATTATTGTTTTAGGAAATACTTTTTTTTCTTTTTTCTTTTTGTTCTGATGCCTGGTTTTTCATTTTAATATTCACTATTTGTGAAAGAGAAATTACCAAAAGGTGTTTAATGAGGCTACAATGAGGGAATACCATTACACTGCCACATATGTTGGAGAACTGGAAGTTTTAGCTTTTCTTTAGTCTTCTAATGTAAACAGTTCCTCAGGAAGATGTCACTTTTTGTGGTGACACTGAATGCTGCTGGTAAGAATGCATGGCACTGACACCAAATACTAAGCAAGGCCTGGTTTACTGCCCATCACTGTTCCTTTCTGTTTCTGCTCAGCACTGCTCTGTTAGTTTTCATTTTAAATGTCAAGCACAACCAAAATGGGAATCATAGAGAAAAGATCTTATAGACACAATCTGTCATAAACACCTTGTTTCCCTTGAGAGTTGACCAAATTTGTCAAAGTTTACTGAGCTTTTATTTCTCCCTGCACAGACTGGGAAAGCATGTTGGTGAACATCCTGTGGTCATGATAGGACCAGAGATAAGCCACGAGAGGGATAATTCCAGCATCTTCTCCTGAAATCCACTCTCTTCCTAATGAGGCTTTGTTGTCAAGAAATCCCATTTCATGTCTGAATTAAATGTATTTGTGGAAAGTGGGAGTGTGTGAGGTGGGTTGAAGGAAGGAAGTTCCTTGAATAGGGTGGGAACAATTCATTCTGTGAGTGAATAAGATTGACTGTAATCAGAGAGATAAGCCTTCTCTGATATCAAAGAAAAAACATAGCTACTTACATCTGCATACTGCTCTCTGGAGATTTTTTTTTATCAGAGGTTAGAATTGTGGGCTTTATGAATAGAACAACTTGGTTTGAAATTTGGGTCTACTGCTTAGGTGCTGTGACCACGTAGAATATTGTGTCACTTATTGTATACTTAATATTATCTTACATTGCAGAATGTTAAAAAAAAAGAAAAAAAAAGTAAAGGAAACTTTAGTATTCCAGTGCTTCCAATATATGCCCATATAGAAAATATAGATAAAGAAAATACAATCTTTAATTACATAAAATATAGTCATTTCAATTTACTCTTTTGACATGGAATGTCTCAATTCAAGATGCATTATAATTGGGTATATTTTTAGCTTCTACATGCATATTAACAATAAATCCATCTTATATTAAATAATTGAACTTACACTATCATTAACCTCCATTCCTATTTTATAATTTTAGCTAAAAAGCAGCACTTGCTGTTATTTAAAATTTTTCTTCTTGAATTTACATTCTCAGAATCCCTTAGTTGAATCATAATCATGAATGTTAGTGCCCATGCACTATAATGGATTTCAGTTAGCCAAACGAAACATCTCTCTTTAATAGAAGTGCAATAAAAACATGACTTCATGTTTTTATTACACTTCTATCGTGTTGAAGATATTATGTTTTTATCATGTTAGCCAGGCTAGTCTCGATTACATGTTTTTATCATGTAACCAGACAATTCAATTCTGTAGTAGATGGTTCAAAACTACTCACCAGCCTTGTTATCCATGTAATACTTTGGAAACACAATCATTCATCATTCTTATAAAAAGCATCCTGAGACTATTTTTACTAATAAGTAAAATAAGTCTTAATTCAATTTATTTCAGTAACAAATGGGACGTAAGGGTGAAGTGGCAGCAGGGGTGGAAAGAAGTTTTTACTTTTGACTCCTCTAGCAGGCACAGCTGGCTTAATGGGCATGTGATGGGTGCAGTTCGTTGCACATGGTTCCCATTCTCAGAGGGGTCTGATGGTTGGTTTATCACTCTACCGTCCTCTTCATGAAATTCTTAAGGTGTTATTTTTCAGCATGTTGTTAGCAGAGGGTATTTCCTGGGGTGTGTCCATGGAAATTTTGTGATCCAGCAGCAGTGCCCAATGGCACTGGCCCTGGGCCCTCGGCACAGCATGCAGGGTGCATAGTGATTGGCCTGGCTACCTGGCATGCACACACAGGACTGACGGTGCCCAGGGAGCCACTGGGCTTAGTGTGGGTCCCATAAGGGACCTGCAACTATATTGGCAATGAGAACAGTGACAGCAGCAGCAAGGTATCTGTACCTTGTATATTGGGAAAACAGGGGACCCAGGCAGTGTTGGGAACCATGGGAAACCAAATTGCCTGTTAATCCCCCAAGAGAGCAACTCTTTGCAGCTTCTGCACAAATATTCCCTGGTTTAGTATTGGGACAGTAACTCTTGGTGCTCAGCCGGTAAACTTTTTCAGTAAATTATTTAAAAATACACACACATAGACATCGCAATAAAGCATATAGGAAAGTTAATTAGAAAGTATTCAAGGAGTTTATGGTCTTCAGTTTTGAAAGCCGTTGAAACATTCCAAATCATATATCCACAGGCTTACAAAGAAAATTAACTTAAATATTGTAGCACCTGCAGTAGACAGAAAATAACTCTATTGTCATATAAAGCTTCAGATAAACAAATTACTAATAAAGAATATGAAAAATTAATTTTCTTGTAATGAAGGATATAGTGATAGAATACATAAACACGTTTGAATTATATACAAATCATGAAGCCAATTTCAGTTTCTTATACAACCTCCACAAATTACAAGAAATGTCAGAGAAAACACTAAAATGCCACTGTACAGCTTTTTACTTAAAATCAAATCCAAACAAGTTAAAATTTTAATTAAATTTAGATAATTAAAAAAGGAAAATTAATTATTTAAAAATTAAGTCAAAATTTGTTTTAATTTTAAATCATTTAAATTAAATGATTAAATTAAATTAAATGATTTAAATGATTTAAAATTAGGTAAACATTTTTAAAAACATTTCATCTGAGTTTTAAAATTTAGATAAAACTAAAGAAACTAATTTTTATGAAGAGTTAAATCTTTTCAGAAAAAGTGTTTTGTGAATTATCAGCTCTAGATGACTAAAATTTATCTTATTATTATTTTTGAGACAGAGTCTTGCTCTGTTGCCCAGGCTGGTGTGCAGTGGTGCTATCTCAGCTCACTGCATCCTCCGCCTCCTGGGTTCAAGTGATTCTCCCGCCTCAGCCTCCCAAGTAGCTGGGACTACAGGTGTGTGCCACCACACCTGGCTAATTTTTGTATTTTTAGTAGAGACGGGGTTTCACCATGTTGGCCAGGCTAGTCTCAAACTCCTGGCCTCAAGTGATCTGGCCACCTAGTGCCCAGCCAAATTTATCTTTCAAAATTATTTACCTAATTATTTTCAAAGTAATTTATCAGAAATGTATCCCAATATTTTCACAGTCTGTAAAATATTCATAATAACTCCAGCAACAGTTGGGTCAGCAAAAAGATTCTTCTTAAAATTAAAAAACATAAGAAATTGCGATGCATTTGCCAAGAATGGCTGACATCTTTTTCAATTGTGTTGATTGAAAATGAGCTGGCTAAAAGTTTACATTTTGATGATCTAATCAATAAAGTTGCAGAAAGGTGTGTCAGAAAAATCTTATAATCATTGAGATGTCCCATTAATAAAGTATATTTATTGTATTATACAATTATGACACTCATTCTTTTTTATATTTTATAATTATATATTGTTACTCATATATTATTACTACCCTCATTATACTTTATCAGTAATAAAATATTGTTAAAGGAAAATGTTTTATACTTTAATACCTTTGGCAGCAATTTTTTCCTACCCTTTGAATGAGAGGCCCATTTTCATTGTTCACTGGGCCCAGCAAACTACGTAGCTAGTGCTGGACAGCAAGATTTAGTAAAGAGGCTCCTCTCCAGACAATTTCTTCTTGAATCCTTACTATTCTGTAGACAAAAAATAAAAATAGTATGTATTTATGGTGTACAATATAATGTTTTGATGTAAGTATACATTGTTGAATGGCTAATTCTAGCTAATTAACATATCTGTTACCTCATGTTTCTCTTTTTTTGTGGTCAGAACACTTAAAATCTATTCTCTTAGGAATCTTTAAGTATTCAATGCATTGTTATTAATAAGTACAGTCACCATGTTGTACAAGGATCTCTTGAACTTATTCCTCCTGTCTAACTGAAATTTTGTATCCTTTGATCAGTATCTCTGTAATCCTCCCCACCCTCAGACTCTGGCAACCACCATTCTACTCTCTGCTTCTATGAATTCAGCCCTTTTAGATTCCATATATAAGTGAGATTATACAGTCTATATCTTTTTGTGTCTGGTTTATTTCATTTAACATAATGTCCTTTAGGCTCATCCACATTGCTGCAAATGACAGGATTTCCTTCTTTTGTAAGGCTTGAATAGTATTCCATTGCAGGCATATATTTTATATATATACACATACATACCACATTTTCTTGATCCACTTATCCGTTGATGGATACTTTGGTTGATTCTGTATCTTGGCTATTGTGAATAATGTTGCAATGAGCATGGGAGTGTAGATATCTCTTTGACATGATGATTTCATTTCCTCTGGATATATACTCAGTAATGGGATTGCTGGATCATACGTTAGTCCTATTTTTGATTTTCAGAGGAACTCTATAGCATTTTTCATAATAGTGTAGTAATTTACATTTCCACCAACAGTGCACAAGGGTTCCATTTCCTCTGCATCCTTGCCAACACCTATATTTCGTCTTTTTGATAACAGCCATTCTACAGGTGTGAGATGGAATCCTTACTCTTTGTAACTTAAACTGACAAGGTGATTCGGTCCATTAGAAACAGAAATGTTTCATGTTTAAGATTATTTATTTCTCTTTCAGTATCCAAAACAACAGAATCACTGAATATGTTTTTGTTTTACCATGAATTATTAGCATGGGTCCTGGCCTCTCAGCCATCTATTATTCCTCCTACCTACTTGCTTTTGGAGATTAGGAGGTCGTCTATGGTGAAGCCAGTTCCATGACGTGTGGAACACAAGGTTACTACCTTTAAGAATAATTTTTCATAGCTTTCATTCAATTTGATACTTTCCCATTGATTTACAATTTGTAAGTCTAGCTATTTGACTTCATCCTGAGAGTATCTTGGTCAGCTTGAGTAAACAGTGACAAGAGGCTCAGGTGTTCTGGTGGCCTCCAGTTTGAAGTCTGAAAGATGTATGTCTGGACAGCTGTGTGCAAAATCTTCTGTACGTGAAGATCAGCATATCCCCAAATGATATAATAAGTAAAACCAGAAGAATAATGAAGAAAAATGACAGGCTCATGGAAGGGAATAAACAAGATATGCCTCTGGTAAATAACTCCCTGAAGGACTCTTAGAAAAGACTTACTGTTTAATTGAATCAATCCATCAACCTTGGGGTGACAGCACCAAATTTGCAATGTTTTCTGGGAGTTGTTTTATTCCTTTGCAGGTACAGTTTAAATTCATAGAATAAGCAGTTAAAAATATACCTGTTTTACTATTAAGGTGCCACATTATTAAGGTACTTTCATTATAGAAAATGCTCACATTAATTTTAATAACAATTTAGAACATGTAAGAGCATCAACATGTAGTTTGTAAAAGGATTTTTTCTCTCTGAATTTGTCTTACAGAAATTAACTTTTGTTACTTTAAAATTTTAAGTGCATTTTGATTCTAAACTCCATAATAATTAAGGATTTTTTAAAAATGACCTTCATTATAAAAATCCGCCTTTATACCTTTTAGGGGAAACGCAGCTTGTCTTTGTTGTCATGGGTAGTCACGTCTCCTAACACCGGTGCAGATTTCAGTGGTAGATGTGATCCTCGAATGTATTATCTAGTTCAAGTTTTGTTGAATTAAAAGTCATAAAATACATGTATGTTGTATACATTTGGCTCTCATAACTATCAAAATTGTTTCAAGATGCTCGCATATTGTAAACTGGACATCGTATATTAATCACAGACTTTGTTCTTTCCTTTCTTGGAGTGGGTGGAAAGTAGGCATAAATAAAAGGAAAAGAGCCTTGGACAGTGGATCCTAAGCAAAGATTTGCATGTGATGAGAATAACTGGAATTTTACAATGTAAGGATCTTCATGTAAAAGCTTCCTAAGTACAAGTGTTGAGTGCTAAAATTTTACCAAAGACAGATGAAACATCTGAAGAAATATTTTCTTGAAGAGTATTGGGAATAGTCAACATGAGACTGCTTACGTAATCTTAATCTCTCTAGTATTAGTTACCTCTAAGTGTACTGTAAACAAAATAACAGAAAAACGTATAGCCCTGAAATTGAACACATAAGTGTCTTACTAATGTATAAGAACACATCATATATACATGTTTACATATTAATTTGGATTATCAGTTTTAAAAAACTGTGATATAATAAAATATATTTAACATTGATACTATACTGAACTTGACACACAATAATTCAGAAATATTTTATGATTTAATACTGTCTTAGGGTCTTCCTTATCAAAGTTTATTTGAATTTTTAAAACTCAGGGTCAGTTTATAGAGTCTGGGATTTGTTTTATTCTATTCTGACCAGAGTATACATCTTAAAATTTGCTGTGCAATGGCGAGTTATTTGCATTTTCAGGACACAAGGTAATATTGAATAGTTCCTTAACCACCTTAGTAGGTTTTAGTTTAAGGGTTTGAATTATGAATAGGTTTGGATCTCAAAAGTTTGTTCTAAAATGTGACCTATTTAAAATGAGTTTGTATTTCTGAATTAAAATGGTCTACTCATTATAGTAGAGTGAAATGTATCAGATGTATAGTAGAGTGAAATGTATCAGAAGTTGTATTTTTTAATAGTTAACAGATGCAGATCCTGGTTCCACGGGATTTTACCAAACTCACAACCTATTTAATTGAGAACTCCAGAAGAAAGAATCCTTTCTTTACAGTATATATACACATAGTTGATCTATTAGTTTTGTCCTTTTTATGCAACTACATTGTTGTGTGCATTTCACATCACAGTGTGAAGAAACATCCTGAAGTTATTCACAGTGACTTCAATGAACAACACATCAGTATACTTTTTACACAGGGGACAAAAGTAAAAGCCGGCTTGATCATTTACAAGGCTTTCACCATGCCGCTGAGATGTCAAGGACTACAAGTTGATCTTCAGCCTCTTAAAATATGGCCTCGAAGCCTTTCATGTCTTCAGTCAACTCCAGCATTTTGACTGATGGGAGCTGGTGTGTGTTTGTGTGCAGTGGGAGAGAGGACACAATCCCGAACCTGACACAGCCTGTGCTTGGAGCAGCCTGCGCCTGCTGCCCTCAATCATTTAGGTATATACAATGAACCTCACCTGAAACAATGTTTGTACAATCGCTAATGCCAGTGGCTAATCCTTCCTATTTGCCTGCTTTATCTCAACACTGTCATCTGTTGAGGTGAATATCAATATTCAAACAACAATAACAAAAGATCCTGTCATCAAAGTGGAAATAAATGAGTATTTTAGATTATTTTAAATAATTTGGCCTATAAAAATAAAAAAAAAGCTCTGCCTATAATTTAACCAAGATTTTTAAATGTAGTGACCTAACCCTCTGCCAACTATTAATTAGCTTGATGCTAACTCTAAATCCCAGATAGAAGGTGGGGGTGGAGGAAGGTTCCCCAAATGAAAAGTCTATTGCAGGCAGTCTTCTAAAAGAACCCTCAGTGTTAGCAGATAATGAAAGTACGTGTTACCTATGACTGAGTAGAAATGATGCCATGACCCGGCAATTTCTTTTCACTGCTGACACATCCCTGCACTGCACAAAATATCAGTGTTGCCTTCATGTAAATTTAATAGGGTGTCTCTGTCAATGACATAAGCAAATACACCATGAGAAGCAGCAGGGGTTTTCAGGGATGGCTCAGAAACTTAAGTATTTTTCCATTTATTTTTAAAATGCAAATTACACTAGTAAGTCAAAAAAATCATTCTGTTAAAAATACATTCAGAATTAACAAATGCAAAAAAAAAGGACACATCAGGATCATAACCCTTGCCTTCTGAATATTAAGTTTATAACAAAAGCTCAGCCTAGAAAAATAGCATTCTTCACCGGATTTTGAGGAGGATACAGCTGTACAACTGTAGATGTTTTCCCAGATATAATCACACTACTGTGCTTACTGATCCCATAAATGACCTGTCCACTGATTACTTTTTAGTAGTCAACTACTGTTTTTTAAAATTTTGGTGGTGATGATAGTTGTGATTTGGTGAAAACTTGGCTGTAACTTAAAGCAGGAATATGAGGGTTTATTTTCTGTACCCATATACATGTACTATAAGGTGAAATCGCATCACAGCATGAATGTACAGTGAAACCTCATTTTTAATAGTCACATTAAAAGTCACATTAGAATAGTTTCTGGCATGTATAGTATTTATATTTTAGGACTCAAAGGACAATACATTGGTAAATATTTTTCTCATACATTAAACATGCATGTCACTATAAAAGCGTCATATGAGGTTTCACTGACATGTTTGCAATTGTTTATTTTATACATGTATGTATGGACAAACATACAACCCACTGAGGAAATTCAAGCATGAGTGCTGGAATCTTTTTTTATAGTTTATGTTCCAATGATAACTCTTTGTTCCTCTATCATTTTCAAATGTATATGTGTGTGTATATTACAGACATCCATGCAAACACAGTAATGGAACTGGTGTATGTAGATCCGAATGGGCTAAGGTCTAAAGTAGTTTAATCCAATAACTGAAACTTCATAGAAATCAAAGAAAAAACTTGCTCCATGCCAATTTATAACTTTTGAATTTCACTGCACTAAAGAATGGTGTGTTAGTTTTAAAAAATTGAGTTTAATGTCTCAGGTGTATCCAAGAAAAAATATGACTCATCTGAGTTCCTGATAAGCCTGAGCTAATTATGTTTTCCACTAATGAAAACCAAATAATGCTTTAAAATATAGAACAAAATTTCCTAGGAGTTCAGAATATTCCATAAACACATTGACCTACTATTAAGTTTCCAAAGGCATCTTGTTGCCAACTACGTTAACAGCACAGTTTTTCTGCCACAATAATACAGGAGGGTTGAAATACACTCTAACACACAACAGATCCCCCAAATACCACAAAAAGATCTCAAATATTTCACCAAGGTAACTATTGCTCCCCCCACCCACCCAAAAATAATCTTGTACACTGAAGTTAGAAAAAAAAGTTCACCTACGTAGAGTCTTCAATTTGAATTAGATATAAAAGAGTAAACATAGCTAATACATATTCAGTTGGCCTCTGTTGATAGAAATCCACAGCTGTTTCTGTGTTAGTAAAAGACAATTGTAGATACTTATAAAAGCACCTAGAGTGCAATAAATAAAATCAGCGAGTTAAGCCATTTCTGCTTTCTGCTTCCAGTAGATTAGTGAGTTTAGTAGATTAATGTTTTACTCTGTCCCACCCCCAACCCCATCAGAAGACCATATTTTAGAATTATAAAGATGACAGATATTGTTATTGTTACTTGTCTCTTTTGGGCCACCATGGAGGCTCTATGGTAAAGCACTTTGCTGACAGCTGGCACTTTTCTTATACAGACACACTGGAGCTGCTGAGCTATTCAGTCTTGTTCCTTGACATGAAACACACAGGCTTGAACTCATTTAGAATTAATAGCAGTGTGTTAGCCTAAAGGAAGTGGCTTGGGGCTGTCTGCACTGGGATTCTTGGGCACACAATGTAGGTGGGTTAAGGCAAGTATGTACGGTACAGCCTTTAGGGCAAACAATCTGCCATTTCGGACTTCGGGTACAAGGTCATCATGGCATGTTTCGTTTGTTTTTGCAATTACATTGCCTAAGTAGCCGTGGTGCTGTCAAGATGTATGGAGTGCAGAAGACAGAGCTCTCAAACTAATGTGCCTTGGATGACTTCCCAGCTCACAGAGGCCAACCCGCTGGGCTGCAGAGGAGTTAGCAATGGCCGGCAACCGTTGGGCATCAACACATCTCCTTCTGAACTTTCCGAAGGCCTGGGAGAAAGGGGCCTGCTTTCAGGAAATCCAAGATGGGCGTGTCCTGCATATTTGTCTGTTTCAGTTAGAAAGAGGAGGTCAAGTGGAATTGGTGTGTGCGTGCTCACGTGTGTGTGTGTGTGTGTGTCAGTGTTGTATGTAGAGGCTTTGCATTTGTTTTGTTAATACGTGTATGTATTTAAACTCAGTTGCTTCTTGCTCTTCATGAAATGCAGGAGGCCACTGCGAAAAAAGTTCTTTGAAAGGTCCATGGGCTGACATACTGAAGTCATCTGTATTATTTTGACCTGAGAGAGAGAAAAGATGTTTTTAGTCAAGGGGGAAAGTGACAGGTGCCTGCTGCTCACCACCTTTTCTCACCTTTCCAAGCACAAGAGCAAACAAACAAACAAACAAAAAAGAAGCCCAAATTGGGTTTTAAATAGATAATTTTCCTCCTTTTCTTTTTATTCATGGCAATTGCAGGGATAGAGAGGCCAGTTTTGGTCATTTAGAATCTATTTCCAGGGACAACTGAAATGAATATGTACTTCTGTACAATTAGGCTGCCAAAAAGAATGCAATGTTTACAAATGTTGTGTGATATATTATAGGATATTCTTATATTGCTGGAAGCCCAATCAGATCTCTACTTGCTCTGACAGTCACATAGGTCTCTGGTAGTCAAAGCAGCTATTTTGTTAAAAACTTAAGCTGTAGACACGGGATTTTTTTTTTTTAGACAAAGTCTAGCTCTGTTGCCGGGGCTGGAGCACGCAGACATGGGATTTTTTTTGTGCAGCAACTTTGTTGTTATTGATTTGTTTCAACAACATGTACCAAACTTTAAGAAAAATATAATTAAAATCTTTCCTTTTTAGGTTAGTTATACATCATCTGAAAAATTACAAACCAAGAACAGTCACCCAACTTAAGAGGACTGTCTATTCATTGTTTGCAGGAACTGAAACACAGCTGTGACTGTAGGTCAGTTACAGCAGTGTTTTCAAAGCTTTGTCCAGGATCTTGGCCACAGAAGATTTGCTGGGAACAGTGGGAGCCCCACAGCTAAAAATGCCTATTGCTTTTCAACATTTGTTTTCCTTCCAAGGAAGAGCTTGTGTTTCCATTTGCTATATAATATTTTTAGGGTGTTTGGACTGGCCCCTGAAGTTAAATTACTCTTACTTTACAAGACATATTTATGGCAGGTTGACAGAAGGTACACTCTAAATGATAAAGACATAGGAGATGCTAAGTTCTCTGCCTCTCAGTAGGGGATGAGGTTTATAGGTGTGTCAGTTTTGGTTTTTCACTAGATTTGAATAAGCAGTGGCTCTCAGATGATTGGTCTTGTGGGCTATGAAGTTGAAAAGGCCCTTCATTTAACAGTGCGTAATGTAAAATAAAAAAGAAATAAACAGAATGCAGAAAAGGGAGAGAGGCACAGCCATGTATGGAAATGTGGCAGCTAAGTTAGTGTTAAGAATACAAACAAGCAAATTAAAAATCAGAATGTAATACCAGGTCAAACTCACAGTCTGTCTAAGAATTTGGAAAGAACACTAACTGAAGGGGTCAGGAAAACCCGTTGATAATCATGGCTGCACCAGTAACAAGTTGTGTGACTTTTGTTTTCCTTTTATTGGGTTGAGTTTCCTCGTCTGTAAAATAAAACCTTACTGTTCTAGGATCCGAGGTCTCCTATGGGATGTTTTGTGGAAGGAATGATTGGAGTATTTTGACTAGTAATTTTTAAATGTACCTTAAGTATACATAACTTCCTAAATTTGAATTCCATTAAACATTTACTTATTTCATGACCAGTGAGACTTGAAATCTCTGATACAATTTTACCACTCTCATGCAGTAAAGAGGAAAACAATATATTTTTTATAACTTTTAGTTGGCATTTAAAGTGCTCTGTTTAACAAAATCATAAGTTTTGTCCTTATGCAATTTAATTCTGGACAAAGATATCTATCTTTGTAGAGTCTCTTCTTTAAAGCCCATTAGAATTATAAATGCTTGATTTGAATTTAATATATTAAATTGTATATAATTAGCATTCTCATGTTTATCTTTAGATGAGAGATTACCTCTAATTTATTACAGCTTGATCATATTTATTGGTCACTCATATTGGCCAATACAGTAAAATATTATGTAATATTATTAGTAGCAAGCAATTACAAACCTTGTAGATATTTTATTCTCCTTTTTTTTTTTTTTTGAGACAGAGCCTCACTTTGTTAACCAGGCTGGAGTGCAGTGGCACGATCTTTGCTCACTGCAACCTCCACCTCCCAGGTTCCAGAGATTCTCCTGCCTCAGCCTCCCGAGTAACTGGGATTACAGGCGTGCACCACCATGCCTGGCTAATTTTTGTATTTTTAGTAGAGATGGAGTTTCGCCATGTTGGCCAGGCTGCTCTCGAACTCCTGACCTCAGGTGATCCACCTGTCTCGGCCTCCCAAAGTGCTAGGATTACAGGCATGAATCACTGTGCCTAGCCATATTCTACTCTTGAGCATAAATATAGTATTACATGTTACTTGAGCTGATGTTATATGTCAGCAGTCCTCAACCTTTTTGGTACCAGAGACTGGTTTTGTGGAAGACAATTTTCCCATAGACCAGGGTTGGGGGGAATGGTTTCAGGATGAAACTGTTCCACCTCAGATCATCAGGCATTAGATTCTCATAAGGATCACAAAACCTAGATCCCTCACACATGCAGTTCACAATAAGGTTCACACTGCTATGAGAATCTAATACTGCTGCTTATCAGACAGGAGGCAGAGCTTAGGCAGTAATGTTCCCTCACCTGCTGCTCACCTCCTGCTCTGTGCTCAGCTCCTAACAGACCATGGGCCAGGACTATTCACGGCCCAGGGGACCGCTGTTATATATAATATACCATTTACAGAGGAGATCTTTTAGGAATGACTTGCAGTGTATGTTACTTCTGACTTGATACAGCCTTTTCATGAGTGATGTTGATTAACACAAGCATTATTCTACCACTAATGAATTATGTTTATTAAGCACTTACTATGTGACATATCCTACGTTTCATGTGCTTTATATATATTCTTTCATATAATTTCAGAGCAATCAGATAAAGTCTGTATGCGATCTCTATTTTGCAGGTGAGGAAACTTAGGCTTGGTAAAATTAAATAGAGTTATTCAAACAAAGTTACATGCCCACGGTCGGAGGGAATTTAATCTCAGACAGTATGCCTTCAGTAGGTCGTCTTAACCACTAGTCCTGATTGCCTTTTTAAATAGAACACTTTATAGAATGTTACATAAAATATTGAGAAGAATGGTAAAGAGTGTGAAGGATTGATCATGTTTTGTTGTTGTAGCTATCAAGAATCTTTCTGGGGGGATAGGGAAGGAAGGTATGGCATGCATAGCAAACAACTGTAGTACATGGGGAAAGAAATAAAAGAAATATTAGAGGAGAAAAGATTAACAAATGTTTCATAAAGGAATATATCTTAAGAAAATTCAAAGGATAGTGGGGTTTCAAAGAGTGGAATTTGGAAAAAAGATGATGTTTGTTGTCAAGAGAACAGCATGAATTGGAAAAATACATATCATATTTGGATAAGGCAAGAAAAAAATGGCTAAGGGGAGCTATCAGACTGTTTATGCTCTCAATAGATTATAAACTTCAGGAGGACAGGGCTAGTTCTTATTCATTACTACATTTTCCTAATATCTCCAGTGTCATCTGCATATGGTTGGGACTCAAACATTATTAAGAGTTGAAGAGAAGAGATACTGTTTCAACAGTAGGTAATAGGGACTCCTTGATAGCTTTGAAGTAGGGAAGTGAAATCATCAGCGCAGTACTTTAGGAAGATTAATTTGGCAGCCATATGGAGGATACAATGGAGGTTCTGAAATAAGGAAGAGACCGAAAAACTTAACAGGTCATACTTGCATGAATTAGTGCAGTCGTTGTGAGGATGTAAAAGAGGAAATGTGTAATACAGTGTTTACAGAAGCAATGCTTTGAATGAAGCAACATACTGGTTGATTTCTGAACTGCTAAAGTCTGTTTTATGGGTGCTATTAGCAAATGATTTCAGAGAACTACAAGTGACACAAAGAAAAAGGCAGGCACGGTGCAAGATTATTCTTTTTTTAAAGAGAAGCTTAAAAAGGGGATGTTTAAAGATTAATTTCTTTGGAGGAGCAATACTTACTCCCAAACTCCATTTATTATCCTACACACTAAAGATATTAAAAGGTAAAATGATTCAATGGTGGAGGACAACGACAACAAACACATATCTTCAAAGAGAAGTTCACATTTTAAAATGAATTGGAATCTTACTTTCTATTTTGATCTTCGCTTGCAATTCAGCATATCACTTGATGCTGATATATAGAATTTGTTATCAGTTGTTATCCAAGGGAATTTGCCTAAACACAGATATAAAAATCAGGCTCTGATTGTATGTCTGCTCTCCTGAGTGCTAGAGTTAAGGGTTCGATAAATTTCAGTGTTAATGTTCCAGTTCATTTTCACTTTTACATCAGAAAAATGATAGAGAAAGTGTATTACTCAGTTTTTTATTTTCTTAACACTACATATAACTAGGGTGAACCTATTATTTATCATCTAAATGAGAACTCTTTTGAGAGTAATAATTATGCCAGGACAACCACTGTAAACTGAAACCAGAACATATGGTTTATATATAATTATATATAACTGCCTACATTATATCATTTTCAAAAAATACAACTTTTTGGCAACTCAAAGAAGTGGTAGATAATTAACATAGGCTTTTGAGCCATGTAGGTGATACTTATGTAAGACTAAATATAACTTTAGAAATGGCATTTCTTATAAGTCAAATAAGAAAAATTCATGGAAAAATGTTATTAAAATTATCCCAGCCAAGACAATATTAATAGAAAAAATACTGGAAAAATATAACTGAACAAAAGCTGCATGCCATCAATTTTGTATCGTGATACAGTTACTTGATTATCTTTAGTACCCCAGAAGAGTACCTTCCAAGTAAAATACTTACATGTACATAGGCTGTAGTTGTAAATGAGATGTCTTCTGAGGCCCTTGATAGCCATAAGAGTCAAAGCCACCTATGAAATCAACTGAAAAGGGACAATTCATTAATTAGCTTTTCAGAAGAGATATACATCCATGATCAAGCACCCACACAGATTACTAATAAACCTTTTATTAGTAATAATCTATTAAACTTCTAAAAGTAACTAATTGTGAAGAAAAAAGAAATGGAAGAAATGATAGTTCCTTCAAGGTAGTGATTCCGCTGCCCCCCTCCCCCACTGCTCATTGTAAGATTCAATTATTGCCTTACAAGAATTTATTCACTTGGTAGAAAAAATGATGTACTATTTTCAAACAACCAAGACCTAATTGGAGTAATAGAATTCATCTACACAATAGAGATGCTATATGCCTTTTTGGTTAGTGTAGATTTTCTGTGACATGCTACAAAATGTTACAGCATATAAATATAAATAATGACCACTCAAGTGCATGTATCTATGAGCAATTGCAGCACTAGTAATAATATTACATGTTATGGTTACCAAGCGCAAGGTACTATGGTGGAGGTCATGTAAATTAACTCAACATTGCTGTCCCTGCCAAATGTGGTTTACCATCTTAAACAATCAGAGGTAAACATGTGGAACAGTCTAACCAAATATTCAAATTCAATACATACTTAGCAATGTAAGATACAATAAGATATAATAAGAGTTACTGTGGCAGATTATATTTTCCAAAATGGCGGTAAGAGTATCTCCTATTTTATATGTTTTTACAATGTGACTTTGACCTTCCTCCCATACAATGGTTTGAGTATGTCTCTTCCTCTTGAACATGGGCAGACATTTCTGGCAGCTTTGACTATGCTATAAATGACACTATGGGGCTTCTAAGGTCAGACCATAAAAGTGTCATGCACTTTTATCTTGCTCTTTTGGGATGTTCTCTCTTGGAACACAGCCATGATGCCACAAGGAAGCCCAAGCTAGCCCGCATGGAGAGATCAATGAAGGACCAATGGATAAGTGTTTCAGTAACAGTATAACTAATGTATCAGCTGATAGCCAGCATCCAAATCCAGGTGTGGGAAATAAAATACCTTTCAATCGGGGTGTCCAGTCTTTTGGCTTCCCTGGGCCACATTAGAAGAAGAAGAATTGTCTTGGGTCACACATAAAATACACTGATACTAACGATAGCTGGTGAGCCAAAAAAAAAAATGCCAAAAAATCTCATAATGTTTTAAGAAAATTTACAAATTTGTTTTAGGATGTATTCAAAGCTGTCCTGGGCTGCATGTAGCCTGTGGGCTGTGGGTCAAACAAGTGTCCCTTAAATGATTCTAGACCCTCACTGTTGAGTCAGCTCAGTCTTGGAATCTTTTCAGCTCAGGTTTCTGACATCAGAGAACAGAGACAAGCCATCCCCTCTGTGCCTGTCTGAGTTATTAACCCACAGAGCCTATGAGCGTAATAAATGGTTGCTTTATACCACTAAGTTTTGGCAGCAATGGTAACTGGAACAGTCAATTCTAAAAGTACTGTGAAAAAGTTTAGTTTTTGTTTTTTCTTTTTCATTTGTGAATAAAGAGGTTTTAGAGTGGGGATAAAAGAAACAAAAGAACACAAGGCCAACAAGATAAGAGGAAGGAGAAAGAAAGTCAAATAGAGACAATCAAAATGCCCTAGGACACCCATTACTTCTTTCCTAGCATCTCCTTCTATTGGCTTACTTTTTTCTAGTTATTCTCTTATTAATATTTGGGGTGCTACAGATAGAAACTGGAGCAGGGTGCAAAGTAACATAAAGTCCGTGATGTCTGTGTAGTGGGGAAATCCTTTGTTTTCTCTTAGAAAAAAACTTTATTTTTTTAGAGCAGTTTTAGGTTCACAGAAAAATGGAGCAGAAAGTACAGATAATTCCTGTATATTTCCTGCCCCCACACAAACACAACATCCTCCACTATGAATAGCCTACACTAGAATGGTACATTTATTACAATCAGTGAACCTACATTGACACATCATCATCATCCAAAGTCCATAGTTTACATTAATGTTTATTCTTGGTGTTGTACATTCTATGGGTTTTGATAAATGCGTGACATGTATCTACCATTAGAGTACCGTAACAGTTTCGCTGCCCTAAAATTCCCCTGTGCTCCTCCTAATCATCCTTTCCTCCCCCAACCCCCGGCAATCACTGATCTTTTTACTGTCTTTATAATTTTGCCTTCTACAGAATGTCATGTCACTGGACTCATATAGCATGTAGCCCTTTCTGGCTGGCTTCTTTCACCTAGTAATATGCATGTAAGATTCCACCAGGACTTTTCATGGCTTGATACTGCATTTCTTTTTTGCATGGGAAACCCTTTTACCAAGGCAGAATGTCTCTTCTCTTCCAAAGTGGAATGGCATAATGACAAAAACAGAGACCCTGATATTAGAAGGACCAGGGTTTAATTCTGCTTTTCCCTTTGCCAGCTATGTGACCTTGGATAAACAACTTAACATCTCTTAAAATAGGAGTTATCATATTTATCGCATATAATTGGTATGAGGATAAAATAAGGAGAGTGTAGAGTCCTGGATGAGACATATGGTGTAAAAGAAGAAAATTAAGAGCCCCTCAAAAAATTCAAAATTTCTTTATAATTCTAAGCCATGCAGCATAGCAGAAAGAGAAGACAGAAAATTCTTAATTTGGGACAACTATAGAACTATAGCAAGTATTTTACAGGAGATGGATCAAAAGAGTGTGATCCTCTTTTGTCTTCTACATTGCCTCTTTTGTCTTCTACATTGTACCTTAGCTAATATAAACAGTACCAGAAGAACTGTGTAATAATTACACAGTGACTCTATTTAAAGTTTGCACTTAAAAAAATTATTGGCTGGGTGCCGTGGCTCACGCCTGTAATCCCAGCACTGTGGGAGGCTGAGGCAGATGGGTCACCTAAGGTCAGCAGTTGAAGACCAGCCTGGCCAACATGGTGAAACCCCGTCTCTACTAAAAATACAAAAATTAACTGGGCATGGTGGTGCGTGTCTGTAATCCCAGCTACTCGGGAGGCTCAGGAGTATTGCTTGAACACCAGAGGCAGAAGTTTCAATGAGCAGAGATCATGCCATTGCACTCCAGCTGGGTGACAGGAGGGAAACTCCGTCTCAAATATATACATATATACATATATATACACATATATATATACATATATACATATATATATATATATGTATATATATAGTTTAAGACTGGGGATTTTTTGCAGATAGTGTCTAAATTCCTGTTTATCTGGATGGGCTCTTGTTGACAATGAGACTAAATTAAGGACTAGTTTTCTAAGAGGTATTTACCGAGTTAGAGCTTCACTGCTCTGAGCTTCCCTCTTAGTAGGATGGTCTCTACCATGGTGGTGGAGAGTGGGTTACAATAGATCAAGATCAGGGCAGACAAAAACAGTAAGGTCTCCACTGAAATTGAGATCCAAGTCAAACTCAGGTTTATTAGTATTTTTATTGCTGCTGCTGCTGTTGTTATTATTATTGAGTTTGTTTTGAAATATTTAATTAACTTGATTACAGGGATTTAGGAGGGATGGCAGAAAAAAAATAGATGATAATTATGAACCAAAGATCTTCGGGTGAACCAAGGGATAATGTGAAGAAAACAAGATGAATCTTCAAGTCCAATGGATAGAATTAGGACCAAAAATGGACAGCAAAGCTTGAGTCAGAAGCCATGTAGACCTTCCAAAGACACAAGAAAAGGCCAGGAGGGAAATGAGGGTGTCCTGAGCCTGTGATGCGAATGGAGCTTGAGTGGCCTGGGGCTTGCTCTTATTAACCATGATCTGTATGCTGTGTAGGTAGAGAGAGATGGCTTACAACCCTCAGATTAGGGAGGACGGCACTAAAGCTCTGATGGAAGGACTGTGATCATTCTGATTATTCGGACCATGCTGATGGCCTGGGTATGGAAGAAGTTCCAACAGAGGGTGACCCAGAACCAAGATGAGAAAAGAAGCAGCTCTGAATGTAACCAGGCTGGATTTTTACCATTTCACTCATGAGGGGGCATTCAAATTTAAATCAGAAGTAGAGGGCATATTTTCTGTAGTTTATTTTACCTACATGCTTGAGTTCACAGCCAAGGAGACAGTGTACAGTCAATTTCCATGTGCACTTCTTCTCAGAAATTGTTTGGATGTCTTCCTAAAGACCTCAGGGAGAAGAATAGGCATCAACTGGATCCAACCAACCATTACAGTTAAGATTATGGGGGTCAGCACAGAGAGACTTGATTCTTCTCACCTTTTATGGAAGGGTTCTTCAACCACATATGGAACTTTTTGGGGTGCCATGTAGATAGAGAGGTAGAGGTATTTTTTCCTTCTCAAAAATTGAATTACTGGGGTTAGCTTACATTTTTAAGATACCCATAATACCATCTTTTTCTGTTTTCAGTTTCTTTTATATAATGACATTTATTCAGGCTCTAAAGAGACTACTGCATATTCTAAAACTTCTCTGAGCAATAAGGGTCATAAAACATTTGACAGATCTTTGTCCAGGTAATTTTGATGGCAGCTAGATGTTTGGGTCGTAGTTTATCTCTGCATTATTTAGAAAAGAGTAACTTCTATCTATCAAGAATCTCCTTATATCCTTAAAAATAAACTAAATTCCCCAAATTACAAAATACTTAATAGTTCCTGAAGCCCTTTCAAGTGATATCATTTATCTTCACAAAATTACTTTGAGATTGGTAGGAATAATTATCTTAATTTTACAAATCAGTACAGATTTATAGAGTTTTATCTTGAGTCACACAACATCTGAGGATGAGAGTAGAAACCAGGTATTCTATTTCCTTTGTATGTATATTGAAAAAGATATTTCTGCATTTGACTGATGCCATTCTAGTACATTTTTGGAACGTTATCAACAGTGATCAAAAGCATCAAATCACATTTTTATGTACTTTCTAAATTATTAATTTAACAAAAGTCTTAAGTTCTTGCTTTGAGTTCCTTATTGGTTGTAGATTCCTCCTTCTGTTATTTGTTCTCCAGCATCTTTTACTCTGTTCTTTCTAGAAAATTTGCTCTTTATGTTCTTCCCATCTAATACTGTAAGGATCTACAGTATTAGATTCTTCTTTGATCTAATACTGTAGAAATATTTGGATGTAAACAATAACTTATCAGAAACTACCTTTGCTGAATTTGCCAGTGATAGTTGCCAATGTGGTATTTCGGGGCTTTTTTGTAATGTATCTTTAAGAGGGTAGCATCCTTCAAGATTTAGTTCATGTGCTTCATGTCTGATAATTTATGCAGGACACCAAATAAGTATTTAAGCAGTCCTTTCTTCTGAAAATTATTTATATTCTCATCCCCATCTTGTATGACTGATAACAACGATGTTTTTTTAAAGTTATGAGAGATGTTTTCTTTCATGCGACTTGGCATATTGTCTGTGTAATTTCAATGCTTAACAGAAAATGTGAAAGACAGACAGGAATTACTAAAAGCCTGAATTAGAATTAGGAGAATGAGGAAGGAAAGATGTCAATGAATTTGAGATGAATGGACAAAGAGGTAGAAAACATAGTTCATGGCAAGTTTTTGAACATGGGGGAAAGGGAGGAAAAGAAAAGGTTCAAAGTTGATTCTCAGAAATTTGTTTGCCAGGGGCATATTGCTGCTTTTAAAGAAAAAAAAAAGGTCAAAAGGGAGTTGGTGTTTGGCTTTCTTTTGGAAATGTAGTATTTAAGTTATAAGTAGTACATCTAAGTGAAGAGACGCTTGGGAAAAGGGAAATGTAACTCTAATTAGTGCAAGGGAAATTGGGGACTTGCTGGGATGTTAGAGATGAATTTCTTTCTCCTCACTCAGCTTTATTTTGCTTCATTGCAACCTATTTCTACCTGATGTATAAATCTGCTTGTTTATTTGTTGATTTCCTCCACTACTATAATACAAGCTACATGAGATTTACTGTTTTCTACTGTTTACTACATTAGCCTCAGAACCCAGAACAGTGTCTGGCTCACGGAAGACACTCAATAGGTATTTACCAAATAAACTCTTAGACCCTTTAGGCTGTAAAGGAAAATAAGGCAATTGATTGGAGCACAGAAGATGCTAGTAAAACTTCCAAGTGAAATTTGGCTGACTGCCAAGGCCTTGAATGATAATAAAGAGAAGACTTTTTATAGACAATCTACAGAGTTGTTGTCTGGGTGCTGTGAGATACACAAAAGAAACTTTTTGGATACCAGTAGGAAGAAAACACCACTGCATCCCCTTTGGCCAAGAGGAGTGGAAAGAAAGAGGTTAGGACATGCATTTGCATCAAAAGGACTCCAGTGAGACGGTCATTCATTGATGAATGCTATCGAGTGTTACCAATCTTGATAATTGTAGGAATAACTTTGTTTTCCTTCTGGCCAGTTTATAGGACCCTAAACAGAGGCACACAACTGGACAGAAGGTGAAAAAAAATTGTACTTTCTTAATCTCTGCCTTGTCGGAGGGATTTGCCTTTGGTTCTCTGAAGACAACTCAGGATTTTTTTTTTAAGAGCTATACTGAGGTATAATTGATATGCAAAACACTGCACATATTTAATGTGTGCAATTTGATAAGTTTGGACATGTGCATACCTGTGAAACCTTTACCACAATCAAGGTAATAACATATCCATCACCTCCAAAAGACAACTTGGAATGCTATCATTTTCTTTGCAAGTGCATTTTCTTTTTGCCTTCATTTTCTTATCTGCAGTGTGGGTATGTTTACATCTATTGACCTATGGGTAGGGTCAGTGGATGTACTGTAATAATTGTAGGTGCAATTATTTTAAGTTAGTCAAGTGCCATATCAATTTAATAACTATGATTTAGTAACATTAATGATAGTGGAATTTAGAAATTACCAAGTAAGATAAAAAAGTTTTTGAATAAATATTCTTTGTGACAATATATTTCCTGTTGTGAGCCTCTCTTTTATTTAAACCTTTTAATCATGAACACTGAGTTCAGCAAACTTAAAACTGTTTTATTAAATACATGTTGGCAATGAGGTATTGTAATATAAAATTGTCCCTTGGTTATTAATGACAAAGCCACTAGTCAACATACTCCCTTTTGGAGACAGAGCTGTAAAAAACCATGAAGGGAAAATTTAACAGGCAGTTCATAGGAAGCTAAGCCTGAATATTTAGAATAACTCACTGAAAGACACTAAAGTATTTGATGTCTTTCAATGAATTTTCTAAATATTAAAGGAAATTAACAGGGCCTATGAAAATAGAGCGTCTTTCCATTATTTCCATAGGTATGAATTCCAAGGGTACTTAGCTCCAGTAATACAAAAGGAACGTAAAACATACCCAACCATAAGCCAAATTGAAAAGAATCACTTTTCTTCCACTAAGCTCTAGTTGGTGGCAGGAATTCAAGCTGACTGTGTGAACTTGAGGTGTTCAGTCTGGGCTAAAATCCCTGGAGGGACTCTGAGCTTTTTTTTTTTTTTTTTCCTGATAAGGAAAATGCAATCCTTTATAGGAAGACGTACTTTAGCCTGTTGTTGCATGAAAGGTCACTAAAGTGTTATACAACAGAAGGCTTTGAGCAGGCGAAGCATACATGGAATGAAATGAGACTTATTAGCTAAATCACCGCAGATGCTTCGCTTCCTAAACTTGTTCATCAAATATGTTTTCTCAGGGTTTTAGGGCCTTATTTTTCAGTTTGCTTCTTACTTGTATCAGAAACAAATCTTTAATATTTTATTTTTATTTATTTATTTGTTTATTTTTATTATTATACTTTAAGTTTTAGGGTACACGTGCACAATGTGCAGGTTAGTGACATGTATACATGTGACATGCTGGTGTGCTGCACCCACTAACTTGTCATCTAGCATTAGGTATATCTCCCAATGCTATCCCTTCCCGCTCCCCCCACCCCACAACAGTCCTCAGAGTGTGATGTTCCCCTTCCTGTGTCCATGTGTTCTCATTGTTCAATTCCCACCTACGAATGAGAATATGCGGTGTTTGGTTTTTTGTTCTTGTGATAGTTTACTGAGAATGATGATTTCCAATTTCATCCATGTCCCTACAAAGGACATGAACTCATCATTTTTTATGGCTGCATAGTATTCCATGGTGTATATGTGCCACATTTTCTTAATCCAGTCTATCATTGTTGGACATTTGGGTTGGTTCCAAGTCTTTGCTATTGTGAATAGTGCCGCAATAAACATATGTGTGCATGTGTCTTTATAGCAGCATGATTTATAGTCCTTTGGGTACATACCCAGTAATGGGATGGCTGGGTCAAATGGTATTTCTAGTTCTAGATCCCTGAGGAATCGCCACACTGACTTCCACAATGGTTGAACTAGTTTACAGTCCCACCAACAGTGTAAAGTGTTCCTATTTCTCCACATCCTCTCAAGCACCTGTTGTTTCCTGACTTTTTAATGATTGCCATTCTAACTGGTGTGAGATGATATCTCATTGTGGTTTTGATTTGCATTTCTCTGATGGCCAGTGATGGTGAGCATTTTTTCATGTGTTTTTTGGTTGTATAAATGTCTTCTTTTGAGAAGTGTTTGTTCATGTCCTTCGCCCACTTTTTGATGGGGTTGTTTGTTTTTTTCTTGTAAATTTGTTTGAGTTTATTGTAGATTCTGGATATTAGCCCTTTGTCAGATGAGTAGGTTGTGAAAATTTTCTCCCATTTTGTGGGTTGCCTGTTCACTCTGATGGTAGTTTCTTTTGCTGTGCAGAAGCTCTTTAGTTTCATTAGATCCCATTTGTCAATTTTGGCTTTGGTTGCCATTGCTTTTGGTGTTTTAGACATGAAGTCCTTGCCCATGCCTATGTCCTGAATGGTAATGCCTAGGTTTTCTTCTAGGGTTTTTATGGTTTTAGGTCCAACGTTTAAGTCTTTAATCCATCTTGAATTGATTTTTGTATAAGGTGTAAGGAAGGCATCCAGTTTCAGCTTTCTACATATGGCTAGCCAGTTTTCCCAGCACCATTTATTAAATAGGGAATCCTTTCCCCATTGCTTGTTTTTCTCAGGTTTGTCAAAGATCGGATAGTTGTAGATATGTGGCGTTATTTCTGAGGGCTCTGTTCTGTTCCATTGATCTATATCTCTGTTTTGGTACCAGTACCATGCTGTTTTGGTTACTGTAGCCTTGTAGTATAGTTTGAAGTCAGGTAGTGTGATGCCTCCAGCTTTGTTCTTTTGGCTTAGGATTGACTTGGCGATGCAGGCTCTTTTTTGGTTCCATGTGAACTTTAAAGTATTTTTTTCCAATTCTGTGAAGAAAGGCATTGGTAGCTTGATGGGGATGGCATTGAATCTGTAAATTACCTTGGGCAGTATGGCCATTTTCACCATATTGATTCTTCTTACCCATGAGCATGGAATGTTCTTCCATTTGTTTGTATCCTCTTTAATTTCCTTGAGCAGTGGGTTGTAGTTCTCCTTGAAGAGGTCCTTCACGTCCCTTGTAAGGTAGATTCCCAGGTATTTTATTCTCTTTGAAGCAATTGTGAATGGGAGTTCACTCATGATTTGGCTCTCTGTTTGTCTGTTATTGGTGTATAAGAATGCTTGTGATTTTGTACATTGATTTTGTATCCTGAGACTTTGCTGAAGTTGCTTATCAGCTTAAGGAGAGTTTGGGCAGAGACAATGGGGTTTTCTAGATATACAATCATATCATCTGCAAACAGGGACAATTTGACTTCCTCTTTTCCTATTGAATACCCTTTATTTCCTTCTCCTGTCTAATTGCCCTGGCCATAACTTCCAACACTATGTTGAATAGGAGTGGTGAGAGAGGGCATCCCTGTCTTATGCCAGTTTTCAAAGGGAATGCTTCCAGTTTTTGCCCATTCAGTATGATATTGGCTGTGGGTTTGTCATAGATAGCTCCTATTATTTTGAGATACGTCCCATCAATACCTAACTTATTGAGAGTTTTTAGCATGAAGCGTTGTTGAATTTTGTCAAAGGCCTTTTCTGCATCTATTAAGATAGTCATGTGGTTTTTGTCTTTGGTCTGTTTATATGCTGGATTACATTTATTGATTTGCGTATATTGAACCAGCCTTGCATCCCAGGGATGAAGCCCACTTGATCATGGTGGATAAGCTTTTTGATGTGCTGCTGGATTCAGTTTGCCAGTATTTTATTGAGGATTTTTGCATCAATGTTCATCAAGGATATTGGTCTAAAATTCTCTTTTTTGGTTGTGTCTCTGCCTGGCTTTGGTATCAGGATGATGCTGGCCTCATAAAGTGAGTTAGGGAGGATTCCCTCTTTTTCTATTGATTGGAATAGTTTCAGAAGGAATGGTACCAGTTCCTCCTTGTACCTCTGGTAGAATTTGGCTGTGAATCCATCTGGTCCTGGACTCTTTTTGGTTGGTAAGCTATTGATTATTGCCACAATTTCAGATCCTGTTATTGGTCTATTCGGAGATTCAACTTCTTCCTGGTTTAGTCTTGGGAGAGTGTATGTGTCGAGGAATTCATCCATTTCTTCTAGATTTTCTAGTTTATTTGTGTACAGGTGTTTGTAGTATTCTCTGACGGTAGTTTGTATTTCTGTGGGATCAGTGGTGATATCCCCTTTATCATTTTTTATTGTGTCTATTTGATTCTTCTCTCTTTTTTTCTTTATTGCTAGCGGTCTATCAATTTTGTTGATCCTTTCAAAAAACCAGCTCCTGGATTCATTAATTTTTTGAAGGGTTTTTTGTGTCTCTATTTCCTTCAGTTCTGCTCTGATTTTAGTTATTTCTTGCCTTCTGCTAGCTTTTGAATGTGTTTGCTCTTGCTTTTCTAGTTCTTTTAATTGTGATGTTAGGGTGTCAATTTTGGATCTTTCCTGCTTTCTCTTGTGGGCATTTAGTGCTATAAATTTCCCTCTACACACTGCTTTGAATGCGTCCCAGAGATTCTTGTATGTTGTGTCTTTGTTCTCGTTGGTTTCAAAGAACATCTTTATTTCTGCCTTCATTTCGTTATGTACCCAGTAGTCATTCAGGAGCAGGTTGTTCAGTTTCCATGTAGTTGAGCAGTTTTGAGTGAGTTTCTTAATCCTGAGTTCTAGTTTGATTGCACTGTGGTCTGAGAGATAGTTTGTTATAATTTCTGTTCTTTTACATGTGCTGAGGAGTGCTTTACTTCCAACTATGTGGTCAATTTTGGAATAGGTGTGGTGTAGTGCTGAAAAAAATGTATATTCTGTTGATTTGGGGTGGAGAGTTCTGTAGATGTCTATTAGGTCCACTTGGTGCAGAGCTGAGTTCAATTCCTGGGTATCCTTGTTGACTTTCTGTCTCGTTGATCTGTCTAATGTTGACAGTGGGGTGTTAAAGTCTCCCATTATTAATGTGTGGGAGTGTAAGTCTCTTTGTAGGTCACTCAGGACTTGCTTTATGAATCTGGGTCCTCCTGTATTGGATGCATATATATTTAGGATAGTTAGCTCTTCTTGTTGAATTGATCCCCTTACCATTATGTAATGGCCTTCTTTGTCTCTTTTGATCTTTGTTGGCTTAAAGTCTGTTTTATCAGAGACTAGGATTGCAACCCCTGCCTTTTTTTGTTTTCCATTTGCTTGGTAGATCTTCCTCCATCCTTTTATTTTGAGCCTATGTGTGTCTCTGCATGTGAAATGGGTTTCCTGAATACAGCACACTGATGGGTCTTGACTCTTTATCCAATTTGCCAGTCTGTGTCTTTTAATTGGAGCATTTAGTCCATTTACATTTAAAGTTAATATTGTTATGTGTGAATTTGAACCTGTCATTATGATGTTAGCTGGTTATCTTGCTCGTTAGTTGATGCAGTTTCTTCCTAGTCTCGATGGTCTTTACATTTTGGCATGATTTTGCAGTGGCTGGTACCGGTTGTGCCTTTCCATGTTTAGTGTTTCCTTCAGGAGCTCTTTTAGGCAGGCCTGGTGGTGACAAAATCTCTCAGCATTTGCTTGTCTGTAAAGTATTTTATTTCTCCTTCACTTATGAAGCTTAGTTTGGCTGGATATGAAATTCTGGGTTGAAAAATCTTTTCTTTAAGTATGTTGAATATTGGCCCTCACTCTCTTCTGGCTTGTAGAGTTTCTGCCAAGAGATCCGCTGTTAGTCTGATGGGCTTCCCTTTGTGTGTAACCCGATCTTTCTCTCTGGCTGCCCTTAACATTTTTTCCTTCATTTCAACTTTGGTGAATCTGACAATTATATGTCTTGGAGTTGCTCTTCTCGAGGAGTATCTTTGTGGTGTTCTCTGTATTTCCTGAATCTGAACGTTGGCCTGCCTTGCTAGATTGGAGAAGTTCTCCTGGATAATATCCTGCAGAATGTTTTCCAACTTGGTTCCGTTCTCCCCGTCACTTTCAGGTACACCAATCAGACGTAGATTTAGTCTTTTCACATAGTCCCATATTTCTTGGAGGCTTTGTTCGTTTCTTTTTATTCTTTTTTCTCTAAACTTCCCTTCTTGCTTCATTTCATTCATTTCATCTTCCATCGCTGATACCCTTTCTTCCAGTTGATTGCATCAGCTCCTGAGGCTTCTGCATTCTTCACGTAGTTCTCATGCCTTGGCTTTCAGCTCCATCAGCTCCTTTAAGCACTTCTCTGTATTGGTTATTCTAGTTATACATTCGTCTAAATTTTTTTCAATGTTTTTAACTTCTTTGCCTTTGGTTTGAATTTCCTCCTGTAGCTCGTAGTTTGATCATCTGAAGCCTTCTTCTCTCAACTCGTCAAAGTCATTCTCCATCCAGCTTTGTTCCATTGCTGGTGAGGAACTGCGATCCTTTGGAGGAGGAGAGATGCTCTGCTTTTTAGAGTTTCCAGTTTTTCTGCTCTGTTTTTTCCCCATCTTTGTGGTTTTATGTACTTTTGGTCTTTGATGATGGTGATGTACAGATGGGTTTTTGGTGTGGATGTCCTTTCTGTTTGTTAGTTTTCCTTCTAACAGACAGGACCCTCAGCTGCAGGTCTGTTGGAGTTTGCTAGAGGTCCACTCCAGACCCTGTTTGCCTGGGTGTCAGCAGCGGTGTCTGCAGAACAGTGGTTTTTTGTGAACCGCGAATGCCGCTGTCTGATCGTTCCTCTGGAAGTTTTGTCTCAGAGGAGTACCCGGCCGTGTGAGATGTCAGTCTGCCCCTACTGGGGGGTGCCTCCCAGTTAGGCTGCTCAGGGGTCAGGGGTCAGGGACCCACTTGAGGAGGCATTCTGCCCATTCTCAGATCTCCAGCTGCGTGCTGGGAGAACCACTGCTCTCTTCAAAGCTGTCAGACAGGGACATTTAAGTCTGCAGAGGTTACTGCTGTCTTTTTGTCTGTGCCCTGCCCCCAGAGGTGGAGCCTACAGAGGCAGGCAGGCCTCCTTGAGCTGTGGTGGGCTCCACCCAGTTCGAGCTTCCCGGCTGCTTTGTTTACCTAAGCAAGCCTGGGCAATGGCGGGCGCCCTTCCCCCAGCCTCGCTGCCGCCTTGCAGTTTGATCTCAGACTGCTGTGCTAGCAATCAGTGAGACTCCGTGGGCATAGGACCCTCGGAGCCAGGTGCAGCATATAATCTCCTGGTGCGCCATTTTTTAAGCCCGTTAAAAAAGTGCAGTATTCGGGTGGGAGTGATCCGATTTTCCAGGTGCCGTCTGTCACCCCTTTCTTTGACTAGGAAAGGGAACTCCCTGATCCCTTGCGCTTCCCGAGTGAGGCAATGCCTCGCCCTGCTTCGGCTCACGCACAGTGCGCTGCACCCACTGACCTGCGCCCACTGTCTGGCACTCCCTAGTGAGATGAACCTGGTACCTCAGATGGAAATGCAGAAATCACCTGTCTTCTGCGTCGCTCACGCTGGGAGCTGTAGACCGGAGCTGTTCCTGTTCGGCCATCTTGGCTCCTCCCCCAGATCTTTAATATTTTAAGCTTGGTAACACATTCACACGTGCTAAACAATGAAAGTGAAAAGCAATAGCTATAATAGTATCATAATAAATAAAGTATATCGTTAGCTGAAAAATCACTTTAAGCTTTTGGTTCTAAAGGCCTAATAAAAAATGAAATATAAGGTTCACTTGATAAACTATTTTGTATTGTTGTTCTTGTTCATATCTGCTAATTCTCAGTGAGGGCAGTGCCTTAGGTGAGATTTTAAGAAACAAATGATGGTTTTCTGCTGAGACCTGGATCTTGTTATCAGGTAGTCTTTTAATAATATAATGCCAGTACTTGATATATCATAATGCCACTACTTGATACATTGTTGTAGAATCTGTTTGGTAGCATCAAGATGGGGGGCTTTGGAGTCAGAAGACCTGTGCTCAGGTTGTGCCTTTACTTCTTACCATCATTGGACCTATAATCAGGTCACAATTGCTCTGAGCCTTAATTTCTTCCTCTGTAAAGTGAGGATAATCAAGCAATTTCAGCTTCGAAGGGTTATTGAGAGAATCAGGTGTCATATGTGTGTAATACGTAGAGGTATATATATTAAAAATACACTATGAGTAGGATTGGGATCTCCTCTCTTTTCAAAAAGGATTTATACAAAAGGAATGATTGGAATTATGCTTCAAAATGCACATTTAGGCTCTTTACTCAGATAATTAGCATTTCCAAGGCTAGGAGAGTAGATGGAGACAAGGCTCAAAAGAGAGAACTTTGTATTAGAATTTACTAAAATTTTATATAGAGTGACAAAAGTGTAGAAGACATCCACGGAAGCTGAAGAGACCAGAGGGAGGTCTATGGAGAGCCTTCAGATGCCCACTTAGTTGATTAACTGTGATTGGACAAGCAACAGGAACAGCCTGTGTGACATACTGTAGAAAAAAATAAGTTAAATGTTTAAAAAATTACATAGAACTGAATTTCCATATTTCAAATCCTTTTGGAAATGGCCTTGTATATTATCAGAAAGAACACAAAGAATTTGGGGCTGGCCTTGTCTGTGGTCTATGAGGCTTTGCCACATTTGTGGGCAAAAGGAACTGTCCAGTGAATGGTCAAGAATGAAGACAGTGAGAGCTCAGTGTCCTGGATCAGGCAGAATGATAGGCCAAAGCTTGGTGGATGGATTACTTTGTAGAGGAGAAGCTTACCTGTTCCTCTCAGATTTGGGCAGGGTTGCAAGAAGACAAAAGAATAATTGCCTGTACAGAGATTTGTCGAGGTTCTTGAGGGAAAATCAAGTTTCTATTTGATAGATTTGACTTTCTCAGGTATCAGTACTTGGTTTAAGGATCCTGGAAAGGTGTGGAACAGGTCCTCTGGCCAGAGTGCCACTTTGTCAAATGCAGAAGAATGAAGCATGGTTGAGCAGGAGACAACACCCAGCTGAGTGTAGCAAGTACACATTTGCTGTCGGGTTTAGTTACTTTCTCCAGCAATGAGCAACCACCCAGGATTAGAAGTGGAGAAATTGAATCTGGGCATCGTCAGGCACAGATGTTGAAAGTCTAAGCACAAGTGATGTGCAAGCAAGGAAGGAAATCAAGAATGCTAATGAGAACACCATTGCTTTTGCTAATTCTGGAGATAGATAATGAGTAGGAAGACCCAAAGCATGAGAAAAACATAGGTTCAGGTGGAGGGAAGCTTCCAAATAAGGGTGAAGAAAACTTTTTCCAAGAGGGAGGCAGTAGAACAAGGAAAAAGAATAGATAGGTGTTTATGGTCAGGCAGAAAATTTCAGAACTGGGCATCTTAGAGAAGCCTCTTTCCACCATAATGAAGGTGATCCACGATGAAGGGAATGAAGGTGGCAGATGAAGGGAGTGGTGATGAGGGAGATGAGAACTAACAGGGTGGAGAAACTGTAAAGCTAGAGTCAGAAAATTATGAATCCGATATCTTTTGATGCTTTCAGTAAATGTAGAGAAGCATGTAATGAAGATTATGGTGAAATAACTAAGCCAACTTCATCTTAAATGTGCCTGGGCTCACTTTGTGCCATGCCATTTGGATGGATTAGATTTTCCAGTCTTTGTTTTGTTCTCCCCTGTTAGAATTGCTTTCAATTATATATGACATGTCTTTCAGATGAAATTGGAAGGAGCAGTTATTACAAGCTATAGGTGAGCTCGTTAGACATGATTGGGTATGTCTTCTCAGCTGACATCCAGAATATATTTAGAATCAACAGCCCATTTAAATGCAGGAGTTTTAATTAGGGTTTTGGGTACATTAACATATGCATATTTAGGGAAATAAAAAAATAAAACATGCGTGCTGTAATTACCTATTAGAGAAATATTCTTTACCTTGTAATCTTTGCTAACATAATCTTTGTATCATTTTACAGCCTCCAGAAATGAAAATCACAAAACTCCTGAGCCTAAATTAATCATCTTCTTAGAACAACAGTAGCAATTTCAGGAAAGAGAATGTCCCATGGTTACTCTAACATTTTTATTGGTATTTGGGAAAGCTGAAACTAGATTTCCTATATCGAGTTCATTAAAAGAACTTAAGATCATTCCTGTGTGACTTACGGTGTACCTTTGGTCAATATGGATCCGAAAAGTAGTACCTTTTAAAAAAGGCGTGCCTGTCTTTGTTAAGTTCTACATAGTCCTCTAATTTATCCCTTAGGTTTCAGCTGAATCATCATGTCTTCGGGGAAGAATTTCTTTCCCTCTTCTAAACTGCATGAGTTCTTCTTGGAATCATTCCCATGGCACCTCCATCCCCTTTCCTTGTCTGAACTTTCATCAAGATTTACTGTAATTTCTCTTTCTCTCGTAAATTGTGCACTGGATTGTAGGCGCCATAAAGGCAAAGATGGTACCTGTTTGGTTCCCTGCTTTATCCCTAGTGACAATAAATAGCCTACCACCCAGTAGTTGCTCAATAATTATTTGTTACAAGAATCTCTCTCAGGTATCACAGTGAAGTGACATGGAAAGTATACTTCGAATCTTGACAGCGATGTTCTGCTCCCAGTTCTGCCTCTAAATGATTGTTTAACTTTGAGCAAGTCAATTTGAGTGTCCCTTTCCTTAACTGTAAAATTGGGGGATTACAGTAGGTGACCACTAATATTGTTCATAACTTTATGATTATACACAATTCCATATTTCTGGGATTAGTTCACATATGAATGTTAGCAATATAATATTTAAAATGAGCAAATCCACAAAGGCATAATGAATGAAAAAAATTAGTGTAAAGGAGTTATTTCCATCTGCTTGTTACTATTATGCATTGATTTTACTAAGTGAGTTTCCAGAAAGATTAGCTGCTGAAAATGGCAATTGGAAACTGAGGCATGAATGGGAAAACAGAATGATGAAAAAGTTGGGGCCTTGGATAGGACAGTCGGGGTGACGGGTTTGGAGCCAACAGAAATACTGTCCCCTGTTCCGTTTAATTCAGTGGTGAAGGTGTATGGATGTGTGACTGTGTGCTTCCCTTTGCAGTGCCACATTTGGGAATTCAACATCAGCTTCATTAGTTACAAAGGCAGCAATCCATATCCAATTTTCATTTTGTAGCAGGATTGTTAATGTATAAACTACACTCTTTGCTGAAAACATTTGCAATTAATCCTATAAACAAACAAACAAACAAGCAAATGCAAATGTTACACTGCCTGCCCCTGCCAACCCCACTGACTCTGAGGTCTGGTCACCATTTATTATACTCAAAAATGAATTGAAATTCCCACTTTGGCCCTAACCTAATTTTCAAGTGATAATAGGCATGGATTCCCAGAAGCACTCTGTGCCTCTTGATAGTAACGTCCTAATTTCCTTTCCCGATAAATGTTTTAAGTAAGATTTTAGCACCAAAGGAAATTAAACTTTAAATTAATCGTAATTATAAAATGCCATCACTGATTTTTGTCTTCAGCCTAATTACTTTCTATTATTTAAACAAACCGCACCTCCTGTGAGCTTTAAGTTTGTTTCTCTTTCACTCCCTGCCACACAACGCCAACCAGTCATAGCGGAGGCCTCCGTGAGTATCTTCTGCCAGAGCAGCCTCATTTAAATGTCACACAGGATTGAGGGTTTGCCTCCAGCTCACTTATTTCCAAGGCTCTCTTTCAGTAGCTAGGTGTAGGCTGCTTTGCTCAGATGTTTTCATTCCGCAAACCTGGTGGCCATCCTTAGAGATCTAGTGTTTCTTAGCCCTCCTGCTGTTAAGAAGGAGACCTCTGAACACAGCCTTCTGTTTCTATGAGATGCCACTTCTAAAACTAAAGCAGAACCGGGCATAAGGAAGTGGGCACCGGCCAGCATCATTCGTCAAGAGACTAACTTTGAATGTCATCTTCTCAGCATGTCTCTGATTTGGAGGGCTTTTAAAGAGACTTCATTTTCCTGTGCCAGCGTTTTGTCTTGCTCTCATTTGTTGTTTGGAGATGGGACTAAAGAATCCCAGTGATTTTATTTTGTGAGTGTGTATGTCAACATTCTGCTGCAAAAATCACCCCACTTTTCTGCTACTTGAATGCTTTCTTTCTCATGCCATTATCCATGAGAAGGTAGAGAGAGATGGTGAGGTAGCTAGTCCAGGACACCCACTGCTGGTAGGCTGTGGGGGTCTGCACCACTGGAAGAAGCAGAGTCAGCAAAATCAAGGTTTTTGTTTATTCATTTCTGTAAATGTCACTACTTTCTCCTCCTTCAAGTCACATGGTTTCTTTCTTATTAAGGCTATTAAAACAACATCAGTATTCTTCATCTGCTGGATAACTTCAACTTACCCTGCCAGAAATATTCTTTGCATAAAAAATACCTCTTTTGTTACACCCCAGTTAAAGGCCCTCCTTTGCTTATCTGAATAGTGTTACCTCTATATTGTGTTGTAGAAACAAAGCTCTGATTGTTCTTAATTAACAGAGGAGAGAGAATGAATCAGCTTCTTTCCCCTCATATTCTTGACTTGGAAATATCAGATTTATTTAACGATGAACATAGTATGTGTGTGTGTGTATGTGTATGAGTGAAAAGCAATATAGAATAATGGAGGCGATATTATTAGAAAAGAAAGAAAATAAGAAGTGAATGTTGAAGAATCAGACTCAGTTTTGACCTGAACATCCAAATTTAAAAATATAGCTTATGTGTTTTCTGTTAGATGATCACAAGAGGGAGCAATTTAATAGAAGGCTGAAAAACAAACCATTGCTCACCAATCTGGGGAGATTATGTGAAAATTATTACATGTAACACTGTTGGAGAATGCTGTGGTCACTAATAGGAACTTGAATTTGATTGACAGGAGGAAAATTCGCATGTAGCATCTGTCTCAGGTGTTGATCACTTAGTTTTATACATGGCAGCATGTCTTTCTTACTCTTGTTTAGAAAATGACAGGTGCTTTATTCAAATTACTTATTCATTTACTCTGAATACATTGAATTCTGAGGAGATGTCATATTTCCTTGGCAGTTTCCATAAAGGTCAAGGAATGTTTGTGGAGATCCAATTGATTCATTCATTTATTTTGCAAATACTTCCTGAGTCCTCTTCTAGGTTGGGGATTTGGTAGATGCTAAGGATACAGCAGGGAACAAGACAGGGGTGGATCTTGATGGTGTCTCCTACTATTCTTCCATCCTGAGTGAATCAGTGTGTACTGTATTTGAATGTCGGAAGGTCATGAATGAGCTAGTGGCTTTGGGCAAGTCATTTAATCTTTCTGGGCCTATAAAATTAAAGTGCTGAAATAGAGCAGTAGGCAGGTTTCCATCATTTTTAACCCAGTACAACTCATAGTTCAAAACAAATCATAAGCAGAACAAATCGATATTAAATTAAATAAATGCAGTAACTTCTGTGCTTTGGGCAGAGGGGGGAATGGGAAGGAAAGGTGAAAGATGACACCTTTTTCACCTTGGCCCCACTAGGATTCTGTAGGCATAGTGAGAGATTAGTGGCGTGCAAAGCCTGGGTCTTCAGGCTTTGTGATCCTGTTCAGAGATAACAAAATAAATACCAAGTTTTGGTTTAGTGGGAAACTGGCAGATATGGACAAAATTTTTTCAGTCAGTCACCATCAAATTCATAAGACAAATGTTATAAAGAGAAGATAAATTAGTAAGATACTAAGATTATGTTACATTTTACTTGATTGCTTCAGTATGATGCCAGATAAGTAAAATAAACATATTCTTCTCACAATTCTCCCTGTCAACCTGGCACCCAAGAACTTGGCACCTTTTCTGAACTTCTAATTGTCTCCTCTTAGATTATGTTTGAAGAGTGATTTATAAACGTGAAAGAAAGCTCAGACTACCAAACAGAATGTATGATATGGCCCTAACAATCAGATGGGAGGAATGCAGTTAGATGATAGATAGATAGATAGATAGATAGATAGATAGATAGATAGATAATAGATAGATAAGAAGAAAGGAAGAAAAGAAGAGGGGAGGAAGGAAGGAAGGAAGGAAGGTAAGAAGGCAGGCAGGCAGGCAGGCACATAATATACCAAAATTTGAACTGAGTATCAGAACTCAGAATTATGGGGTTATTTTAATTTTCCTTTTTTTATTTATCTGTATTGTCTATGCTTTCTGCATTCCTTTATAGACAGGAAGAAACAAATATTTTTTTCAAGGGGAAATAGTTTTCCCTGCTCCCATGTCTACCCTCCCCCATGGTTGAGAGTACGCGATTGTGCTCAAAGAACTGCATTCAAATCCAATGATCCTGACAAACTGGAGAAATGATAAAAACATACAGAATGGAATTCAATACACAGAAGTGTAGGCCAGCAGGCTTTAGAAGAAAAATCAAACAAAAATAACAGAAAATTATTAGCCCCAGAGAAGTGAATAATTTCCTGTGGTTTTCTTTTCAAATGAAAGATTCAATAAATTGATTGTGACTTTTATCCCAAGGCCAGTTGATTTTGAGGAATTCAGGACAGGTTTTGATGCATTTGTGCTTGGTTGGTGTAAATGTGCATGTGTCTAACTCCAAGTTTAAGCATCTTGAATTCATTTTTCTGCATTGATTTCAAAATAAGTCCCTTAGGATATTATTTTTTAAATGATATTCCATGTCTCTCTCCAGATGATTTCATCATTAAACAACATTTGCAAATACATTGAATCTCTTTTAGCAAAGAAAATGACTACTTAGTAAAATGAACCCATTTGCTAGAGGACCAACATTTAGTTTTAGTTTAACTATTAAGCCAGTGATTTACAAGAATACATAATAAAAATTGAGAAGTAATAAAAATTGAGAAGTCATGATGATTTTTTTTTTTTTTTTTTTTTTTGCTAACATGGATTAGCAATATTTTCTGTGGCTGCATGGCTTCCTTTTAATTGCCACATCGAACAGTGCTAATAAAGCACTGAGGACAGTTCCTGATTCTATCACTGTGAGTGGACATCCAACTGCAGTGGGGAAAAACCGAGGATGAAGTGAGACAGAAGAGCCACATTTATAATAAAAGGCACACCCGACCAGGAATCTCCAAACATTTTCTTTCTTTACAGAATAGTGTAAAAGAGAACAAGTAGAGGGGAATAGAAGACGGGAGGCCATAAGGAAAGCTCTGCATGGCTGGTGACAGATGAGACAGCAGAGAGCCCTGCCACAAAGACAGCACAGCGAGATGCCTGCTTTCCTGGAGAAAGCCTTTTCTCCCAAGATGTATCACTGCCTTTTCATGAACAAATATATGAAAGTATGTTGTTAAGGTGGCCCACTCAAATAGGGTTCTAAGGTCAAGCCACATCCTCTAGAGCAGGGACCTCAGCTTTTATCCTGGTGAGAAGCTACTCATCTAGAGGCAGATCACACCACAGCAGGAGATCTTGAGCGGGAATTCCTGCCTGGTGGCAGTGAGTATGGAGCTGGCCTGGCAGCAATACAGCCCTGAAGCCTCTTACCCACAGGCATCTGATGGGCCAGTGAGCTGCATCTATCCTCAATCTGTGCCCCACAGATATTTTCAAGTGTCCAGGACACACGTGGAGTGTGTGTGCGTGTGTGTGTATTTGGATGTGGACTGAATTGTGATCCCCCTCAAATTCATATGTTGAAGGCCTAACTCCTAATATGCCTGACTATATTTGGAAATTGGCCCTTTGAAGAGGTAATGAAGGTTAAATGGGGTCATAAGGATAGGGCCCTAATCCAACAGAAAGTGCCGTCTACAAGGCAAAGACAGAGGCCTCAGGATAAACCAAACCTGAGGTTTCTAACACCTAGATTTTGGAGAGCAAATTTCTGTTGTTTAAGCCACTATGTCTGTGGTATGTTTTTATGGCATCCCTAGCTAACTAATTCATGGGGGAAGGAGTGTCACATCTAATTTGGGATCTCTGCTCTGAGGGTTGCTGTCATCCCCTGGTAGGTACAGCAGATGGCAGTGGCACCCTGTGAGTCTGCACAACCAGCTGGCCTGCCAAACTGTGGCTCTGGCTTAGATAACTAAAGGGTCAGAGATGTAAACTTCAAGGTCCAGATTTTTTTCAATGGAAAAAAACAGAAACCCTTGCAATATAGTGTCTGCTATGATGTAAATGTTAGTGTCCCTCCCCAATTCATATTTTGAAACATAATCACCAATGTAATGGTGTAAGGAGGTAGGGCCTGTAGGAGGTGGTTATGTCATGACAGTGGAGCCCTCAGAAATGGGATTAGTGACCTTCTAAAAGAGGCCCCGGAAGGCTGCCTTGCCTCTTTTCCACATGTGAGGCTACAGCAAGAAGGTATCACCTATGAGCAAGGAAACCAGCCCTCACTAGAAGCCATATCTGCCGGTACCTTGATGGACTTTCCAGCCCCCAAAACTGTGAGAAATAAATTTCTGTCATTTATAAGCCACCTTACTTATAATATGTTGCTATAGTACCCCAAAGGAACTAAAACAGTATCTCTATAAATATCAATCAAACTGGGCCCTAGAAGAGTAATGAGATACTGCTTAAAAGGATACATAAGGGAAAAAAGTTCTCAGGCATTTGATGTTCATGAGCCTAACTCTCTGTTTCAATGATGATTTATTGGTATTTCATTGGGTCTAGGCTTGAGTCTTTGCTCATTGAGCTCAAACCCTCTCCATTGCTTCCTGGAGGTTTCTGCCTCTTTCCTCTGAAGTTTCCTGGATACACCTGTTGCTGTGAAGCTGAGGTATCAGAACTGAGCACATAACTGATCAGCTTCATGTTGACTTAAAGAACATTTTGTCCAGTTGCCATCATTGGGCCCTTATCTCCACAGCCATTCTAAGCACAAGCTACAGAGCCAAAACTGTCCGCTGTTCCTCATAAGGCTCTTAGTAATGGAAACTTAACCAATTTGGCAAGCAGGTAGCTAGCACCTACTCCTGCCACTATGTTTCACTGCAAATAATGATGCATTATTGCAAATCCACAGTGGGCAAAAATAGGCACATAGAGACCCTCTCAGTGTTTACATGTACATTAAATCCCTCCCATGTTTCAGGGTTTGCTTGAGAGTGGTTTTATTTTAACCTTTCACCCAACTTTTTAAGGATCAGGATAATTTTTTGTAATATAATTACCAAAATGATACAGAAATGTCAAACCTTTTTTACTCTATGGATCGGAAGTCATATGTCCAGGCATCGTCTGAGGATAAACATCAGGAAAGTGATTACATACAGAGAATATCAACCCAAAGCATTGTAACCAAAAGATACTCATAACTGTCTAGGTGTGAATGACTACAAGTAAATGAACCTAACTGAAAGTCACCAAAGACAACTGGACAGACAGCGAGCCCAAATGAACATCTCCTCCCACCTGTTTACTAGTCCCATGAACATCTGAGGCAAGCGTCAGTCTACTTGTGTATAAAAATTTAGAAGGGTTCATATTTTGCGCACTGAGCAATAAGACTAACATGATAAAACGTGTCTTTGAGAAGTCTGCTTGTGTTTTGGATTAATAAAGGCAGATGTGGTGTGTGGTCAAGATACACATAAAAACATATATGTTATTTTTTGGAGTCTTTCAGGGGAAAAAGGCTTATTAGATGATTGAGAGATAACTTGATCTTTCAACAGATATTGGTGACTTTGAATCGCCTTGAATTTACATTGCTTTGGCCAAAACTTGATTTAGGGCAGAATTCCCTTAGAAGAATTCTCCAGAATATCAAGTGCTTTTTTCTGGAGGTGTCCAGGTCGGAGAGGGGCAGGGGTTGATGGAAAACAGGAGTCTTGTGTTCAAATATTTTGGGAGACTTGCATTAACCATACTTTTAATTTCTATAAATTGATGCTTTAACATCTACAAAATGACCACTAGCTGTTTCCAAGTAAGCCCTGGCTCATCCCCAAAAAGCATGTGGAGATTTTAGATAGCTCTAAACCTATGCATTAATAGTCACAGTGAACATGAATTTCATGGGGCGCAACTTTGCAACATAGCTAACCTATCCTAATAAGCCTTCCTACCCTGCCTCATCCATTTCTTCTTGTAGGATTTGAACTAAAGGTTCCACTCTCTCTCTGCCTCATGGCTGACCCCACTCCTTCCCATGTGGGGCATGTGGTATTCTCCCCGGGGAACTGTGGATATAATCAAGCCTTAGAACTCTTTCTGGTTTTTCTCTTTGATCTGTATCTGGCCTCAAGGTAATGTGATTAAAACAAAACTGTGGGTTAGAAAACAAAAAAAAGGACATACTTTTTTCTGGCAGTACTCTCAGAAATGTTAATATATAAATGTGCATTCTAAATTTTCAGTGTCAAACTTACTTGGCTTTGGAATCTTTTTTTTTTTTTTTTTGAGCAGTATGTCTTGTGGAACTAGCATTTCTGAGATTTCCTTTGAGAGGTGCTATTCTGCTAAAATACTGATTATGCATGTAGGAGACATGGTATGTCAGTAAGTATTGTCTGAAGATAAAAATGCACTGGTATCATTGTGAAATGAAATCAAACAACATAGCCCAGAGAAAGCCCAACTTCCATATGAAAATCAACTGGGGACTTCCCCTTCATCAGGGATTTGGCACACAGACACTGAATGGTAATATCTCAATGAACTTACATAGTTTGTTTGGTCCACACATTTTAAAATCCGTATATATTTTGCCTTTCCTAATCTTTGAATAAATCTTTTCTGTATAAGACAAGTGCTTACTGGATGTCTTCTCTTGTATAGGCGCTAGGTACCTCAAACTCAACCTGTGCAAACTGAACTAGTGATCTTATTCCCATTTTTCTTCGCAAGTGGCAATTCCATCTACCCATTCACTTGCATCAGATACCCAGTAATCTAACAGTCTCCTCTTTTTCCCTTATCACAGTACCCACCATTGCCCACTAATCATGTCATTTCGGCATGTCTCATGGCACATCTATCCTCTCTATCTCCAATACTGATCCTTGTCCAGATTCACATTATCTCATGTCTCACTTTCATGGTGTCTTAACTAGTTCTCTTTTCCCTAATCTTTCCCCCTCTTGAGTCTCTTCTTTATAATGATGCTAATGTATTTTTTCTAAAGTACATTTTTGATTATGTTAATCTCTTTTTATAAGCTACCTGCTCTTTCATCTGTGATTTTATTATATAAAGCCCAAACTCCTTAATCTTCATACCCATTTTTCTACTATCTCACCCATACTTGTTTTTCCAATTTTCTCCAGCTGTCTACCTGTAGCACAGGAAACAAATTCAGTCACATTAATCTGGCCGTGATATGCTTTTTCACCTTTTGCCTGGGACCACCCCTCACTTCCATATCAGCTACACAATAAAGATCTATTCATCTTTCTAGATCAAGCTCAAAACTGTTCTCTATAAACCTTCTCCTGATCTCTTTCTTCTCTTTACCCACAGCGTGCACTACACAGTTTCATACTTATTTGCTCATATGTTTGTTTTAACCTCCTAGTTGGCAAGTTCCTACAGGTAAAATATTATGTATGACTCATCCTAAAATCTCCAAAGGCTGACACAGCACTTGAAATACTGAGGAATATTTTACAAATGCTTATTTAGTGAAAGGACCATTATTTCCTTTTATATATGAAATAAATTATATACTGTATACTTCTGATTTTAGATCATGTATGAGTACGATTGAAAAGTGCCTCTTCTACATTAATCACTTGATATTGCCTCTTCCTTTCCAGTATAATTGGAAAGGGAAGAAGAAACAGATATTTATCTTTGGATGTTTCCCTCAAATCACCATATTCTCACCTTCCTCTTTCCTTACTGTTTCAAAAACCCAACATTATAAATATTTTTTGAAACCAAGAAAGATGATTCCCAATTCTGATTTTTCCTCAGAGTAAATGTAACTATATAGGCAATTATTCATGATAGTACCCTCAGAGAATAGAAGTACTTTCCCCAGTTCTCCTGTTTTAGATCCTTAGGGGCAGGGATGGAATGAAACCTTCTACCCTCCATGTTTCGGAGAGCAGAGAACAACAGAGCCACTGGGAGGATTGTAAGAGGGTACTGTGATCTAAACTCTGGATCAAGCAATATGTCTCAATGTTGAGACTTTGACATAGTTAGAGTTCTAGCCATTTGTGTCAAATAGTAGGAACAAAAAGGACAGATGGACATTTGATTTCCCAAAGACAAATTCTCTGAATTAATCTGAAGTCAGTTTTTATAAGAATCTTAGCAACTATTACAAATTGTTGATTTTGGGGATTTGTAGTCTTGGGTAAAACTGGTTAGTTATCAATACCTAATAAAGGGATCATAAAAAAGAGAATGGTCAAGTTAGCCACATTTTAAAATCATTTCCATCTCCAATCTCCCATCTCTGTTCCCTACTAGAATTGTTTATAAGAGGAAATGATTTTTAAAAGGTTTTCAATGAAAAGAAAGAAGTTATGTTTTCAAAATGGGTGCTTCTCCATTCTTCAGTTTGCTGGATACTGTTATGAGAAACACTTTAGTCTGATGGGCACAAAAGGCTTATTTTCCATTCTAATGCTGTGTTGTAGGATCTTGTCTGAGGAATAGGAAGGCTAAGTAGGAGGCAGTAAAGGAGATGCTTTGAACTTGAAAGAAACAGAATAGAGCTTTAATACTTACAGCTGTCCTCTTCTTCAGTTATACATTTCACAACATAACAGGCGTAGATGAAACCTGCCAGCTGAAACAAAACAGAGATGCTTTAGACATCAGAAAAAGGCACCAACACCAGACCTCACTGGAGAGTGGCTTTTCAAAGTCAGGCAGTTTACAACCAGACTTAGGGCTCCAACCAACATGGCTCATCGGACTGGACCTTGACTTCAGTGTGGATTCCTCATTCAAATGATGCTCATCTGTGTTGTAAATACATATATTACTCTGTTTTTCTCTGACCTGCATTTATGTGTAAGATTTGATAATTGCCAGGCAATCTAAAACAAATTATTTTCAATACAGAAAAAGACTTATAACCATTCACTAGTGGATTAACATTTGCATTTGTGCCCATCAACTTCTAGTTTACTTTTCATTAGCTCAGAGCCTACGATTCTAAAACTTGGACACCCACAGACCGTCAGAAAAACGCTTTGAGGGAAGACATTAAGGTGATTCTGTGGTTTGTTGCATGGGTTCTTTGTAAGGAAAATGCAGATCTGTAACAGGAGCCAGGGCATACTGAGTATAATTAAGACAATATGTTACAGAGAAGTGACGAGATGGACACCTATAAGTAGGGAGTATCATCAAAATGCATTGAATATGGCATTACACACGTCGCATCGTCTTTTCTGAAACACTACAAAAAGGTCTGTGTGCTTGTAAAGGAGCACAGCAAAGTCACTTGATCTCTCTATTTTCTCAGATTGGGTGTTTTTGTATTCCTTCCTATTAGTACAATATTTACTTAGTCAACTTATGAGCGCTAGTCAAAAGAAACAAATATAATATCTGGATAATGGAAAACTATTTGTTTTCTTTTTTTGCAAATTGATCTAGTTTGGAGGAATCCTTAAAGGTATGTCCTCAAAATAGTGATGAAGATTATTCACAATGACATTTCAGACAGGCATTGATCTGGCTGAGGACCGACCCCACACAATAATATTCAGTGTGGGGAAGAAAACATTAGGAAAAGCTGCAGTCTTCAATCAGGAAGCAAAAGCACGGGAAAAAAAGGAACCGCCACGACAAGCCTAATGAAGTTGTTTTTCATTAGATGACAGATAGTGATCTTCTGGAGGATGTGAGTGGAACATTTTAAGTCAAAGGGTACACTAATAGGTATTTAATGAGCACAGAACTGTTAGGAGACAAAGTGGCCTCTGGTGAAAAGAAACTTTTAAGTCCCTAATTTGGATTTGAGAGAGAAAGCACGTTCTGGCAGATTCTAGCTATCTTCCAAAAAGAACTGGCATAGGATAAAACAGTGGTCATTCCTGGACAATACAGGAAGCAGCAGTGCCCACACTGGGGAGGCAGAGTTGAAGGAAGAAGACTTACGCAACACAGTCTTCAAACGCTTTTGTTTTTAGATCCTGGAGGAGAGGGAAGGCGTACCCCCTGCCCTCTCTACCCCCAACTGTAGTATCTGTACCAGTACACATCTTAGAGAGTCAAAAATAAATACCACTGATGCTATATCAGAAGAATGAGTTTTCTTTTTAAAAAATATTTTAGAAAACTCATCAAATCAGCATGTTTCTCTCTGAATTATATGTAACTATTGGCAATAAGATAGTGATAGTAAGAACCACTTCTTTATATAATAGAGTCATCAAGGTCTTTGTTTTTTTGGGACTTATTTTTAGAGTTCCGAGTACTAATTAAAAACCAATGTCTCCTATTTTCCTGTTTGGCTTTAGCAAAGATTTTGATTTGTCCAAACTCAAATCACATAGTGATTTGAGCATTTTCATGGGTACTGGAAAAATAGAGATTATACTAACACATCATGATCTTTTATCCACCAGGACCCATGAAAATGCTCTTTTTATGGAGTGAGCCAGTGCCATGGGTGCTTGTCATTGGTACTTGGATCTGGCTGTGTCTAGGTAAACGGCCTATGGGTTTGGTTAAATCCCCTTGGTATTGCTTATAGCTTCACCTCTTCCTCCACATTGAGTTCTTACTATATGTGGCTAAATGTTACAGGTTTATCAATAGTTTTCCTCTTCTTTTCAGTGTTAAATGCTTATTAAATTATTTGTAAAGCAATTTGTCCTAATTACAAACTGTTTTAAAAAAATTCTTACTCATCAATTCATTTCTTTGAAATGAAAATCTAGGTAACAAGCATCGATACATTCTGAGATTCATGGCCAATAAGTTTAAACTTCTCATTAAAGTGTCACTAGAGTCTTGATTATTAAGTGTACTCTCCCAGAATGCAGCTAAGGCAATGCACTGCACTGCATTCTGCTTACCAGTTATCTTTTAATTATATTCATTTTCATTCTTTAACTATCTGGGGAGCTCCTTTGATATAAAAGTAAATCCTGCTGCATTTTGTTACAAAAGCTTGCTGATTAAGAGAACTTTAGCTTTTAAATTGGTCACTTCTAACTACAAATGGAAATTTGTGTCCCCCAAATTAACCAAGATTCATAAACTCTGCTATCTTCCAATTATCCTACACAATATAAATTTCTAATTTAATTTTACCTCCCCAGTGGCAATTTATAAAATTTACCTATAGAAAGGGGTTTCAGATTATTTCCCACAATTCTGAATGTCTCTGATATGGTTTGGCTGTGTCCTCACTCAAATCTCATCTTGAACTGTAGTTCCCATAACCCCCATGTGTTGTGGGAGGGACCCGGTGGGAGGTAATCGAATCATGGGAGCAGTTACCTTCATGCTGTTCTCATGATAGTGTGTGAGTTCTCAAAAGATCTGATGGTTTTATACTGGACTTTTCTCCTCCTTTGTTCTCATTCTTCTCCTTGCTGCCACCATCTGAAGAAGGTCTTTGCTTCCCCTTCTGTCTTGATTGTAAATTTCCTGAGGCCTCCCCAGCCATGCTGAAGTGTGAGTCAATTTAACTTCTTTCCTTTTTAAATTACCCAGTCTCGGGTATGTCTTTATTAGCAGTGTGAGAAGAGACGAATCCAATCTCCTATAACATGCAACTCTTCTAATTGCTACCTGGGCTACAATGATGAACTAAAGCAGATTTCTAGTCACCACTGACATTTTGGGTTGGGAAGCACTTTTTTATTGAGGCTGTTATGTGTTGTCAATGTTTAAACAATAACATCCTACAATCAAGACTGTCAACAATTGAGGCAATAAAAATATCTCTAGACATTGTCACATGCCCTCTAAAAGGCAAAATTTCCCCTGGTTAGAGCCATTGTTTGAAATATAGTCCTAGCTTTAAGGAGTTTGCAATTTTGTAGCAGGTATACATATAACTGTAATTTGAAGTCGATTTAGGTAAATCTTCAGAAAGAAGGAAGAAAACTGTACTCCTAATAAGTGACAACAAACAGTAGATTGGACACTTTCATGTGTTAGCCCATTAATCCTCTCAAACACCCTTGGAAGAGCATTATATGTATTTTTGCTGATGACAGGCAAAATGGAATTTGCTTTTCCAGAGTGAGATTATCAAGCAGGAAAGATAGGGGTTGTGTTTAGGTAAGAGCCAGTAGTCACATCTGATAAGAGTTTGGGGACTTCATACTAGAATAATGGAAGCAAAGCTGTGAAGACCAGATTAGGGCCATAATCAGTGGGCCTCCAGTGTGTCAAATTGCCAATGGAACTATGCCATTTTTCTACACAATGAGCTGAAGGAGCACCCCCTACAAAAGTATAACATTTTTCATGGGTCCAAATCCTTCCTGATGTGATACTTGTCTTCCTTTCTAGCCTCATCTCTCACCAATCCTTGTCAGAATTGATGTCAGTAGAAAGCTGTTGGTAGCTTGCTGACATCTATCAGGTAGCTTTCCTTCTCTGTTCCTTAACTCATTTTCCCAGTCTGCCAACAAAGAATGCTAATGCCCTGTACCTCTTCCTTCCCCTCCCTAGTCAGCCTTGCACCTCCAGTAATGAGTAATTCTAACTCATTCTTTTTTTGCATTTGTTTTTGAAAACAGAGTCCTGAGTTGCTAAGCTGGATATAAAGCTTTACATGGCAGTACTGCCTGCTTACTTCCCGGGTCTTCTTTTTAATTTTTTAATTCACTGTTATTTTAAGTTCTAGGGTTCATATGTAGGTTTGTTATACAGGTAAACTTGTGTCATGGGGGTTTGTTGTACAGATTATTTCATCTCCCGGTATTAAGCTGACCTTAAAGAATGAGTTAATATCCATCAGGAAAAACAACTAATGGACACTAATTCATTCTTTAAGGCTGAATAAAGGTGCTGCTTCCTCCAAGAACTGGTAATCCATTCTCGGAGTAGGTTGGTGCTTGGCACTTTTGAGATAGACCTTGAGAGGTGGGAGGGCTTGAAATGGAATAAAGAGGGGTACGGAGAGATGGAGAGTACATCTTCCAAGTGGAGTTTAGACTAGAGCTGGGAAGAAATAGGGAGGAGGAAGTGGCCCAGTTCAGAGAAGCTTGGGCTGTATAAAGGGAAGTAACACGGCACAAAGCAGATAATAGAGGCTCATGTTGTTAGAGTAGATATGAGTATCTTCAATTGAAAGAAAATAATTTTATTTTGTTCCTGATTTAAAGATGCTTAGAATAATAATGGAAGGGACCTGTGGCATTATCCTAGGCAAACACACAATTATCCACTAGTGAAAGAAATAAAATATTCTAGTTGTTTTAGTCTTTGTCATTCAAAGCAGAGCTAAGTATAATTTTTTTTTTATTTATCTTTTCACCTTCATGTATCTAATGTGATTTGTTCACTTCTAATTCACCTGGTAAGGAATTACATGTCATCTTGATATTATCACTGACTGGAAGGAAATGATATTTTCTCTGTATAACTAAATCAGATTAAAATTCTTTTTTGTATCCACAGACCAAATTATGATTGTATGTCCCAGAAATTCACTTAGAAGCTAATAGAAAAAATGAAACCAAAGCCTTTTGGTAAGTATTTTAAAAGATTTAATTGTAATAATTGAAAATATAGCAACCTTAGCGTTTAATCTATTACATTCTGGATTTCGGTTTCTGGGAAGTTGGAGCAATGGGAAGGATACCTTTCCCTATCTTTCCTATTAAGTATAACTAAAAACTCTGAACATTATATATATAACAATTACAAGAAGACTTTGAGGCAGACCAGCTATGGCCTTTGGTACTCAAAAAAGTACATGAGGGTGAATTCCATTATTATTATTATTTCATATACACCAGACTTACTTGGAGCTGAAGAAGCCTATAACTCTGAAATGCCAACAGGTACAGATTTTTTAAAAGCCCCAGTAAACCCTTGCTGTCTCTAGCCAAAAGACCAGAGAAAAGGGAAAAGGCAGCCTAGCAAGACAGAAAATTTTACAGTGATAGTACCTCTTTGTTTTAGCCAACACCATAGAAAACAGAACAAAACAAAACAAAAACACAAAAATTGTAGCCCCACTCCCCAACCACAGCAACAAAGAGTAGGGAGCCAAGACTTCCCCACTGCCTCATGAGTAAGTAATCCAGACTTTTAGCCTCACTCTCCAGTAACAAGGCAGACACTCTCTTCTCCCCACTGGGGTGATGTCAGTGGAAGCTTAGTAGAAGATCAGGACTTTTACCAATGCCCAGCAGTACTGAGGCCAGTCCGCCACCCCCATGGCATCAGTGAAAGCCACCTTGGAGCAGTAATAAGGCTCTTGCCAGATATGGAGCTATCAGTCAGAGGCTAGTGGGGGGCAGGACCTTCCACAGCCTCCCAAACTTAATGAAAAGCCCTTCCCACCTTAAGTCTCAATGGAGGCTAAGTGGGAACCCTGGACTTCTATCCCCAATTGGCAGAAATAAGTCAGCATCCCTCCTTCTCCCATCAAAACAGCATCAGAGGAATCAACTAAAATGAAAGGTTTAATTAAGATCTAGGGTCTCATAGCATAATACCCCAAATGTCCATGTTTCAATTAAAAATTACTAATCATACCAACAGTGAGGATGGCCTCAAACTGAATGAAAAGACAGCCAATGTAACCTAACCACAGAGGTGATAGAGATGTTAAGATTTTCTGACACATATTTTAGAGTAGACATCGCAAAAATGCTCCAATAAGCAATTACAAACATGCCTGAAATAAATTAAAATATTAGAAGGTCTCAGCAAAGAAACAGAATATATAAGGAAGAACCAAACTGAAAACTTAGAACTGAAAAATGTGGAGGTGACAGAGGAAAGAATCAGTGAACTTGAAGATTGAACAATAGAAATTACCTAAACTAAGAAACAGAGACAAAGTAAACTGGAAAACATGCACAGAGCCTCAGAGACTCATGGAAATAACAAAAGACCTAACTTTTTTTTCCCCCACTGGAGTCCTGAAGGAAAAGGAGAAGTAGGTCAGCACTGAAAAAGTCTTCAAAGAAATAATGACTGAAAACTTCGGAAATTTGGCAAAGGACACAAACTTACTAATTCCAAAAGCTTAGTGAACCACAAACAGTATAAATCTAAAGAAATTCATGCCAAGATGCATGACAATCAAACTTAGGAAACCCAAAAACAGATATCTTGAAAGCAGAAACAGGGAAACATTTATGGACAGCCATTCTGGAAAACAGTTTGGAGGTTTCTTTACAAACTAAACACGCAACTACCATATGATCCAGCAATTGCACTCCTACACAGGAGTGCAATTTTATCTCAGAGAAATAAAAACATGTTCCCACAAAAACCTGTACACTAATATGTATAACATCACTATTCATAACGCCCCAAAGTGGGCGCAACCCCAGCGTCATTCTGTGGGTTAATAGTTAAACAAACTGGTATACCCATACCATGAAATATTACTCAGCAAGAAAAAGGAAGGGATGACTGATACATGCAACAGCCTGCATGAATTTCCATAGAATTGAGGTTAGTGAAAAAAAGCCAACCCAAAAAGTTGTATGTTATATGATCCTAGTTGTAGAACATTCTTGACATAATAAAACTGTAGAAATCGAGAACAGGTTGGTGGTTTCCAGGGACTAAGGGGGGTGGGTTAGAAGGAAGTGAATGTGGCCGTAAAAAGGCAATATACGGGATCCTTGTGGTGATGAAACTGTTCTATGTCTTGACTGTATCAATACCCAGATCCGAAAAGTGAAGCTGTACTAATTTTTGCAAGGTAATACTATTTGGAGAAACTGGGTAAAGTGTAAACAGAATCTCTCATTTTATTTCATATAATTGCATATGATCTATAATTATCTCACCATAAAAGTTTACTTGAAAAATACTACATTTTAGGACAGTTCTATTTATGTTTAAAAACCTTCATATTATAATTTATGAGTTATAAATATATCTAAACCAAGTAGATATGCTTGTTTTCTTAAGTACAAAGACACATTTTAATTTTGTGCCTTTATGCCAACATGATTAGAAATGAGGAGTAGCAACACTACTTTTTACCCACAATTATCTCACATTCCAAATACATTGGTTGTATGTTTTATTTAAATTAAATAATCCAATTTTGTTCTGAATTCATAATTCATAGGCTCTAAGCCCATGCTTTTTGTAATAGGAATTTGAACAGAAGGATATTATGCACACACAAAGTATAATTTTAAGTTGCAGATGATTTTTACTTGCTCTTTTTCATCTTATTCCATCTACATAATTTGAGATTGCTTCAGCAAAGGATTCAAATGTGATTATATCAGTGTTATTAATGAAGGTCTTTATATGAAGTATTTTATTATGTGGGCTGGTATATCATCTGTATTGTTTACCAGATGATTCTTATCTCATACTAATCCACTGGCTGGACTATTGTGGAACACACTGCAAATTTTCTCTGCTACGAGTAATCCAGGTGCAGTTATCAACCTGCAATAACACATGGAGGATTGCCTCCAGGGCTATTGTGAATGTTCACAGCCTACTGGGTCAGAAAAGCTTTTCAGAGGATCAGAAACATATCTTAATACCAGCCTTTAGGTATTCTGCTGCATCATCAAGCATGACTGTATTAAACACTTTTTAAAAGATTAAATAAAACTAGACATACATGCAAACTGGTATTATCTATTTAAGTTGGGAAATAGACTGAACTAAATGCCAACACTGGTTTACCAAATCATTCCTGTTATGAAATAGTCTCTGGAAACTGGTAGATTTCTTCAGTCCAAACTTATCAAAAAGTTATCCTAGTTCAGAGGAGTCTGGTGTATTAGTAAACTGGGCAGAGCAGAAGATACTCAGGCAGGACGAAAGATGGCTAATAACATTCAAATGTCATTATGGTTAATACCTCTCTCAGGGTTTACATATCAGATTCGTTTTTAAAACTGTATTGACAGCAGTAGTTCAACCATTCCATACATGTGCCGGTTGGGAGATGATCAAAGAAATGGCCAATCTAGTGCAATAGAACTACCATGAAATCGCCTTCCGGTTTAGAGATAAGAGCCATAGGGGAGTCCTTAACCAAAACTATTCATTGAAAATAATTGGGAAATGTAAAAAGCAACTATCAATAATACCATACTATTTTAATGGTAAAGCTAAGTTTAAGATTGTATGTTTGTAATGTGCAAAAGGAACTCTGATTTATTCATAATGAATCATTTGAAGCAGAAAGTGTAATTTTTAAATGTTCTGTAAAATGTACACAATTAATACTGTCTACAGAATTTTTGAACAAAATCACTACATAGCTCTTTGGGGAGCAAATGGTACAAGTAACATCATTTTTGATCAGAGATAATAGGGTACCAATAGCAAAATTAACTATACAAAAGGTAAGGCATTTGTAAAAATAAATTTGCCCATATTGAATATTCTCTAACATTAGTAGACAAGGCTAAAGAAGGATCCATGAATTTCACTGGAAGGAGTATGCTGCCCCAGTGATGACAATGGGAACACAAGGCCAGATTTCTCTGTAGAGACTAGGAGAGAAGATTATTTGTATTAAAATATTTAGTTGCAAAAATAACTGGCATTAAATAGGTGCATTTGGAAAAAGAAAGGGGCTAAAACTACGTTAACATTTCCTTCTTTTTAGAGGTACTAGATTGGAAGATAAGGAAAGTGTGGAATATACAATGCACCTGAGACTTCAGCACATATCCAGTGATCAAAAATAATGCATTGATTAATATTATACAAAAATGATGTCAGTAGTACTCTCATTGCACTAAAAAAGAAACAGTTAAACTCAACGGAAACATCAGGACAAACCAGCTAGAGAGAAGAGTGACTTTAAAATGTTATCGTAAACTCAGATGCATTATTAGGGTTTTGAAAATACAGTTAAGTAGGAACCTTAGAGCAATTGGTCCCTTTCCCATGACATCTGTGGGAATAAGCTTTATGCTTATGAAAAGGTATTTTATGTGGCATCCAATAAAGCGTGCCTCTGAAGCAAAGTACTTGTTGCAGTATGTGGCAAGGAAGATGAATGGGAGTGAAGGTAGGAAAAGAAAAAGAACCCTCCAGGGGAATAAAATGTGGATTGGGGAAGACACAAATTTGAAGACCAGTTTTTTCCCAAAGCAATTTTAAAAGGCACAATACTGAATCGAAGTGTCACTTAAAAGGCCCGTCAAGTCTATCCATGTGTAGCAGTATAATCTAGTTGGACTGAATAACTTTGGAGTCAGAACTTGGCTATAATTGGTGTTCTTCACTGACCCTTTCTTCCTTTCCATCTGAGTTACCTTCTTTTCAATATAAATCTTAGATTGTCTTCTTTCTACGTAGCTCATAGCCAATGCAAGGGTGAAACAGAATGTCATAAACCTCAGACTGAAGGGATTTCATTAATTACTAGCAATACCATTATTACCGTTTGGGAATATATAACCTAGGAAAAAGTGCAATTGTATTTCTGTGCATTACTTTTTTATTTTTAGTGCTTAAACCTCAAAACCAACCAATCATCTAACCAACCCCTCACATCCTGGTAACAGCTGGGAGGTAGGAAAGGAAATGCCAGTGATTACTATTTAAAGTAATAGCTGCCATTACTGTTCACTATATTCTGGGCATGTGGTAACATCTTTACAGCCATTCTGCTATCCATTCTTTCCAAAACTAAGGAGATAATTTCTATCATCATCTATTATTTATAAATGAAAAAACTGAGGCTTAGAGAAGTTATATAGTGCTCTCCCAAGATTCAGACATAATGAGAGGACTTGATTCATGCCTATGGACCCTAAATCCTATGCTTCTCATTTTCACACAGTCTTCTTAGTTTATCCAAAAGGCAAAACTGACAATACTCTCAAGCAAAGGGAACATAAGATTCTAATAATCAGAGTGAATTCACATTCACTTAAAAAAAAGTTAAAATTAAGTTCACCTAGTTTTCCAAGTCGGAAATCTGGATACAGATGATAATACTGAGCTTTGAATTAGCAGAGCTTGGAAATCATCAAGAAACAAAGTGGCTCAGCTACCAGACAAATCACAGAGGAGTTTAATACTACTTGTGGGAAACCTGGAGCATGTAGGAGAATGCACATGCTCCTCCCACTCATTTAATTACCATTTCAGTGGTTCCGACTCATCATGATTTTATAGTTCTCCTCTGAATTGCTTACACGTGCTTCTACACACCAGCGTGGGCTTCTTATGTTAGACATATATTGGTGAGTCACTAATTGTCTTCAGTTTACTGCTGGTGAGCAAGGCAAGTCTCATATCAGGTGGAGAGTCAGATGGATGGGATGATTCTAAGAGCTTGAAAATCTAAACGATAACTCTTTTTGCTCACAAGGTAAAGACATGATAGCAAAGTGTCGAAGGACATTCATGATTGGCTCAAGCCTATGCTTTCAGCCCCAACACTTGTGGCTCCCCTTTACTCTTCCATATTAAATCTCTGGCAGTTCCTCTACTATACATGCCATGCTGTTTGATATCTTTATGTTTTTGAATAAGGCATTTCTCTGTCCAACAAACAACATTTATCACCATATAGTGAATGCCTACATGAAACATGGGCTACTTCAAGGCTACTCCTCAGGGAAATATTTTCTAAACACCAAAAAGCACAGATAGGCATTCCTCACTCTCTGTGCTCATATAGCACCCTGAGAAATACCTATATTGCACAACTTAATTCATTTTTGCATATTAATTCTTAAACTGGACTACTGGACTATCAGCATTCTCTAGAGTAACCAAGAATATTTCTACTACCCCCGAAAGTTCCTTCTTGGCCTTTCATCCTCACCACTCTCCCAACCCTTACACCACCCACCAGGCCACACCTGTTCTGATTTTGATAACCATAGAATACTTTTGCTGGGTCTTGAACTTCATACAATAGAATCTTATTGCTTGGTGTCTGGCTTCTTTCACTGAGCATAATATAATATTTTTTAGATTAATCCAAGCTACTGCATCTAACAGTAATTCATTGTTTTATTTTCAACTGGCGTTCTATCAGTATGTGAATATAATTTTATCACTAACTTTTGAGACATAACACACCAAACCAAAATTTAGTGGCTTAAAGTAACAACCATTCATTTTTGCTCATTGTGTTTTAGGTCAACATTTTGAATTGAGTTCAGCTGGGCAGTTCTTCTGCTGAATTTGGTTGGGCTCACTCATGAGTCTATGGTTGACTGTGAATCATCTGGGTAGCACTTTTTTTCTGGGGCTTGGCTTATTGTTAGGTGGGGGTGATGAAGTCAAATAAATGGACCCCATATTTGTGGTCTCACATATCTAATCATTCATCAGAATAATCTGGGCTTGTTCACACTGGTGTGGCAGGCTTAAAGAGCAATAATAGTAAGGTGCACTTCTCAGGTCTCTGTATGATGTTTGCTATCATCTCAATGTCAAAATCAATTGGAGGCCATTATAGCAAAACTCTTCCAGGATGCCACAATTTATTTACTTACTCATCTGTTAAAGGACATTAGGCTCTCAAGGATTAACTGGTTTTTATTTTCAGTTACTTCCAATCTTATATCTTGAACCAACTCATTTAAATAATTTTGCTTTAGGATTTCATGATTAAATAGTGACAGGAGGACTTCCTTCCTTCCTTCCTTCCTTCCTTCCTTCCTTCCTTCCTTCCTTCCTTCCTTCCTTCCTTCCCTCCCTCCCTCCCTCCCTCCCTCCTTCCTGCCTTCCTCTCTCTCTCTCTCTCTCTCTCTCTCTCTCTCTCTTTCTTTGTTGGAGTCTGGCTCTGTCGCCCAGGCTGGAATGCAGTGGCACGATCTCTGCTCACCGCAACCTCCACCTCCAGGGCTCAACTGATTCTCCCACATCTCAAAACCTCCCAAGTATCTGGGATTACAAGCCTGTGCCACCACGCCCAGCTAATTTTTGTATAATTTTTTAGTAGAGAGGAAGTTTTGCCATGTTGGCCAGGCTGGTCTTGCGCTCCTGACAATATATTTCATCTCGTTTATGGGCCCAAGATGAAGATAAAAAAATCATAACTATGAATGCACTTTGAGCTCCTAGGAGAAGCAAAAAATATATTAATTCTCCTCATTTGTAAATGTTCATCGGTTTTTGACTCTATTCAGCCATTCCTACAAGAAGGAAGGTAGTTTTTAATGTCTCTTTTTCTCCCTAGTATATGTATTAATTGGCTCAAGTGGTTTCTGATTTTTTCTTTTTTTTCCTTTAAGCAGGCAGAGGTTGAGAATGGTTAGCTAATTTAGAGATTTTTTGGAATCGCCTTCTAAAAGAGAAGTTTAAATATGGGGATTGGAATTGCTTCTCTTACTACTCAAATTTTAAAAGTTCTTTAAGAGTTATTTACCTATCTTTATTAGTAAATATCACTCATATTTCTGAGCTCGAATTTTCTCTATATTTATATCAAACTAATTCTATCCAGATCATCAGTTCTTACTTTCTCTTTTAAATTATTATATCATTAAAATTTTTTTATTATACACTTGCCAAAAAATATCAAGGAGAATACAACATTGATGACTCTATTAAAGAAACACAAGAGTAGGAGAAGAAAAATAATTTGATAATTTGTCAAATATCAAAAAAGGAGACTGCTGAGAATTGTCCCCTATGCAGGGCTTTTTTTTTTTGAAGTATTATTTAAAAATTGCTATCAAGTGCTATAAGAACCATGTTTTCGTTCCTTAAACTCGGCATTTTAATATCTCCTTTGACTTGTAGTTTTTTTCCCTTAACTTCAGGAAAACATGTTTTCCATTCCATTATATTTCCGACTACATTTGAAAAGATACAAAGGCATGAGCTTGTTATTACCACAGCATCAGAGCTCAGGGGGAGAGCAAGCTGTTTGCATTTTTTTCTTGCCTTTAAAGATGCTGTCATTATCACTTGTTCTCCCAGAAAAGCGAAGTTTGATGACAATCTGTCTATCTCCTCACTGTACCTTAATGACTTCAAAATTGTTAAAACCTCATTACTGGATGTCATCTCTGTGTACATGTGTGTGTGTTTGTGTGTGTGTGTGTGTGTGTGTGTGTGAATGTGATTTCTAATAAAGCAAGAAATACTGAGTAAGAAATGACATTCTGCTGATTTTTGTGGTCTTTTATGAAGGATGGCTGAATTCTGTAATTAGCCTCAGTCTGCTTCTGCAGGTCAATTTTCTAAAATTAGACAATGTAAGAGAAATTTTTTATACCTCACCTCTTTCCTCCACTCTAAAAGGTCCTCAGCTAGAATTTGTTTGTGAGTATGATTCCTTCTAAATCCCTTTCTTTAGATAACTCTGACTCCCAGTGACTTGCAACTTCACTATTCCAAGTTATATATCAATTTCAACCTTCACAACTTCCTAAAAGGCAGGCAGACTTTGCTGTTCCTCATCTCTGATGAATATATTCAATATGAGAATATTAGTGAATAATAACAATTAGCATTAGTATAGTATTCATTCTGTGCCAAGCACTGTTTATGCATAAATTCTTACTCCTCACAATCACTTTATGAGATAGGTATAGTTATTATATTCTCTTTATAGATGAGGAATTGGTGGCATAGAGAAGTTAAAAGTCTTCTTCAAAGTCACCTGCTAATAGGTAGTGGAGCTGAGATTCAAACCCAGGGTGACTGACTCCAGAATCCATGTTCTTAACCACTCTACTGTCTGCCAGTCAAGCTCAGGATGTAAAAGGCTACATTCTCCCTGGCATCCATGGGCATTTTTGATAGCTCTTTAGAATATACACTTCATAGACTGAAATTTCTTCCTTTATATGCAGCTGATTAGGAAAGTAAACATAAATAAATACACAAAAGCATAACTTTCCATCTGCACTTTAATATTATTTATTAAAAATCTGAATTATACAGAATTCTTATATTTAAATCTTTAGAAAATACTAAAAAATCTGATCACATGAGCATATATTACCTTGAATATCTTTTATTTTGAAGAGGTAAAAATTTTAGGTTGAAACCAACTATTTCTCTTTATTAATGATAATACAACATCTAAGCCTTTAATCTAAATTGAATATCTATAACTAAGAAAATATGCTACGACTAAGATGAATATAGACACTCAGCAATAGAAAAATGAGACCTTCTAATTCTGCTAAATGTAAGTAACTGATAAAAGACTACTTGGCACAAAAATATATGAACAATTGTCAATCTAGAGTGCCTATAATTTGAAGCATAATACTCCAGCAATTGCTAAAGAAAAAAACAGTGGAAACCATACTTTTATCTCTTAGAAAACACTGTATAATAGAAAGATGTGATAAAAATTACGGTGTATAATAAGAGAGTTCAGGCTATATTAAAGTGGAAGTGTGGATGAATACAAGACTATAGCAGAAATAAAACGCACAACCCTACCCTTAAGAGCTTTAGCTATTTGTAAGGCAAGGGCATCCTACCCTTTCACCTCCCAAACACATACACATATCACATGCTATTTGGAATTAGGTAGACTACAGACTGGAATGATGATGTACTTCCTCACGACCTTTCTGTGGCTATGGTTCCTGTCCTTGATCTAAAGCAGTGTATTGAGTGACTGGAGTGCAAATAAAAATGAGAGGTGAAGTGATCCACTTCCTACTCTTCCTCTAGAAATTCTAGTCTAGAATTTCTGCTCTTTTCAAACTCAAAAGTCAGTCTCAAGCATGGTACTGTCAGCAAGAAGCCAGTGTAGGGTACAATAAACCCAAGGGCTAGTCAGTGCTAAACTGTTGGGTAGAAATATAAAGTCCATAGTTATGCAAAAATGTCCATGGAGACTTAATGAATAACCAAGCTAAATTAGTTTTAATCATTGCTTACAGGATGGACAGTATGAACACAGATCACTACATATTCTTTCAGAACAAAAACTCCTCCAATCCAAACTGCAATTGGATTTAGGAGGCTAAGGTTTGCTTTAATTTCTGCCAGAGCTGCCAGCCTCAGGGAAAAGGAGCCGTGTACTGAAGCTGGCACAGGAGTGAGGTACTTCCACATTACCAGATCCTCTTATGCTGTACAATGACAAACTTTTGTTGCTGCCCTTGGCCTTGACCCTTTGGACCCTTTGGATACTATTGGTATTTCAGTAGCTTGACCTCTCTAAAAGAACAGAAATGTTCAGGATAGTAAAAGGAAAAAAAAATCATTATTTCAATTAAATCAGTGTCAAGAGGGTTCTGAAGCTGTCCAGTGCAGTAACCCTGACTGATGGTTTAGCTCCTTGCAGTGTTATCATAGCTAAGATAGTAGGGTCACTGCTCACGTAGAGTGCAAGCTTGATGTTGCAGGCATTTTCCCATTTCACAGATAACGATCTCTTTATAGTCACATGCAATTACAATTCACTTTTACATGAAAAATTCAGTTTTACCTGTATATGACTATATCCTATTTGAAGAGTTTTTGAAGGAAAATGAAATGGGATTAAATAAACAGAAATAATGTAATGTTCTCTGGATGGTCAAAATCTCCTATATAATTAATTCAGAACTTGAATATACTACTTGGAGATGACTTCAATTTATAATGTAGGTTTCGTTGTTGTTTTTAAAGCTGTACTGTATCAACTTCTTAAGTAAAACCATTAATTCAATGAATACGAACAGAAGTTCCTTTGAGGAGATTAAAGGCTGGCTTCATCCCAAGAAAGCTGCAAAAGAAGGTTCAGAATGGCTTGGCCCAATCGGCCTCCTAAAAAAGTGGCAGATGGAAAACTCACTTCTGAGTTCCACATTTGCCTGTCTCAAATATTGTCTGAATATCTGCTTTTTTCCTCACTCCCAGTCCAATGAATACTCAATAGTTCAAAAGCCTGTTGTTAAAAGAAATGAAGCATTGTCCTTTCATGGAAGTAAAAAATATGCTTGAATTATTTGATTATCAAATATTGACTGTGCCTCTTCCATACCCTATGTTCAAGTGTTTTGAGAGCACAGATGGTTTAGAGGTCAGGAAATTAAACCTTTCTCTTCTCTTCTCTCTAGAATTGGAGGTTTATTTTTTTAAAATCATCACATTCATTAACAGTATCCTTGGTGCTTGTATCTTTGGACAACAACTGTCCAAAGATACTGTCAAAGATACAAGATGTTGACAGTATCTTTTTTTTTTTTTTTTTTTTGAGATGAAGTTTTGCTCTTCTAGCCCATGCTGGAGTACAATGGTGTGATCTTGGCTCACTGCAACTTCTACCTCCCGGGCTCAAGCAATTCTCCTGCCTCAGCCTCCCAAGTAGCTGGGATTACAGGTGCACACCACCATGCCCAGATAACTTTTGTATTTTTACTAGAGACAGGGTTTCATCATGTTGGCCAGGCTGGTCTCAAACTCCAAACCTTGGGTGGTCTGCCTGCCTCAGTCTCCCAAAGTGATCGAATTACAGGCGTGAGCCACCGTGCCCAGCCAAGGTGTTGACAGTATCTTTGGACATACTTGTGTGTCTGACTTCCCACCAGACATCTCCCCTCAGAACGTCTTAGTAGACATTTCAAACTTACTATGTGCAAACTACAATCCTGCTCTACTCCCTAATACCTGACTACACCTAACTGTATCCATAGCTGTTCTGTTTCAGGTAATGACAATGCCATCCTTCCAGATGTTAAGTCCCAAGCTTGTGGACTCATCCTTGACTCTTCTTTTTCTGACATTATAGAACCAATCTGTCAGAAAATACTGTAAGATTTGCCTTCAAGGTATACTCAGAATCTGACCGTTTTTAACCATCTACACTGCTGTCTCCCAGGTCCAATTTGCCATTTCTTTCACCTAGATCACTGCAATAGCCTCCTAACTCGTCTCCCCACTTGCAACAATTCAGCCTTACTCATAGTCTACTTGTAGCACAGCAGCCAGCCTGATCATCTAAGAATGTAAGTCTGATCATGTCATTCTTTTGTTCAAAATCTTCCATGACTCTCCAATCTACTCTCAGTAAAGGCCAGTGTCATTACAGAGGCTTCCAAATGTGACATAATGTGTCTCCCCATTACCTCTTTGACTCAATCTCCTCCTCTTGTTCTCCTACTCACTCTTCTCTAGCTATCATGAGCTTCCTTGTTATTACTTGAAAATAGAAGCCCATGGCAGCTTTTAGGCATGCAATATTTTCTCAGTATCTCTTTCAAATCTTGTTTAAATGTCACTTCAGTAAGTTTTACTTTGATCACTATTTTAAATTGCACCTTTCTTGGCACTCACACTACTAACCCCACTCTATTATTTTTCCATAGTAATTTAATCGGATACATGAAAAAGTCCCTTTTATTGTGTTTCTGAAGTTAATGTGGTTAACCTGGGTTATTTTAGCACCAATAATCTGCATAGAAATTGCTGGGTCTAGTCCCTCTTTGAGAAACTGAATATAACTTGTAATTTGTACCTGGTATTCTACTTAGAAAAATTCTCCCAAATTTTTCCCACATTCAAATTTACCTCCATTGCTATCCAGCCTGCAGGCCTATAAACCCATCTCCAAGGGTAAAGTCTTTAACCTCTGAGCCATAGCTGATCTTTCATTCTGGTCCGAATGCTGTGTCCTTCTGTTTCTTTTCTTCAATTACCTCAGTTTTCCCATTCTACCATTCCTTTCCCCGCAGGAAAAAAGAAATGCAAATCTTAAAAAGGCTTCCAGTGACCCCCCCACCACTCGCACCTCTTCTCTCTCCCTCCTCTTTCTCCTTCCCATTTGCTGCCAGGCTTGTTGAAGGGTTATTCTACACTTGCTCTTTGTGTGTCTTTTATTCCACAATCCAGAGCGATTAGGCTTCCACTTTCTCTTCTATCTTAAAACGGTTCTCACTAGGAGGATGTCTAATGACATTCAGGTTACTAAGTCCACAGAAAGTATTCAGACTTGACTTTATTTGGCTTGGCCAAGTTCCAACACCACTAAAAAGCCTCTGGGGTCTTGCAGTTCTCACATCCCTCAGCCTTAGTAACAATAGTCTCTTATGTTTTTTTCTCCCACCTACTTATGAATTTCAGTCTTAGTTTTGGGTTCTTTTTCTTTCTTTTAGATTCAGGGGATATGTGTGCTTGTTTGTTACATGGGTATATTGCATACTAGTAGGGATTGGGCTTTTAGTGTACCCATTACCCAGAGTAAACATTATACCTGATAGATGATTTTTCAACCTTTGCTCCTCTCCCATCCTTCCTGCTTTTGGATTCCACAGTGTCTGAGTTTTTTCGTTAACAGAACTTTAAGTAATTGTGATCTCTAAGTTGTCTCTTAAGCCCTCTTTGCTTCTTCCTTTACATATTTCTCTATTCGTTCCACAACTTTCACTGTATATGGACTTAGCCTCCTGCAAGTCATTGGAGATCATTTTAGTGAGAACAGTATTTAATACGAGGAGGTGGGGAAGCCAGATTTCTCTAAGTTATGAAATGAAAAGCATGTGAAAAGCAAGTGTAAAATAATCCTTTAAAATCATGCCTGCACATGGGAAGTAGATTCCCCAAATCCACATATGCTGCTGATATCTCCCTTCAGTGCTCCAGGCTCTAATGTGCAGCTGCCCACTCGGCATCTTCACTTGGAAAAACTCTGTGTGTCTCAAACTCATCATGTACAGCACAGAGTCCTCTTCCCCCTTAACTCTGGCCCTCGTCTCTTGCTCTCTGTCACAGGGAATGGCACCATTGACTATTCCATTGGATTATCCTGAATCTCAGAGGTTATCATTGACAATGTTTACACCTATACTTCCACCCTACAAAGCCCTAAGTTTCTACAACTAAGACCATAAACTCAATTATTTCTTTTCCCACCTCATTGCCACTGCCTCAGTCTGGCAGAGTGTATGATAAAAGGTTGCCAATTCATTTTTCACAATGCTTCTGAGTGATCTTTCTAAAAATGCAATTCTATTATGCCATTACTCTTTAAAAAATATCTTTCTCACTCTTTCATGACAAAATTCAAATTATTTTACCTGGCATATGTGGCATTTTCAAAATTTGCCTCCTGACTTTCACACCCATTATATTTCTATTGCACTGTATGTTCTAGTCTCATTGAGCTACTTATAGTATTCATAAATGCCATTCTCTCTAGCAACTCCTCTAACATATATCAGCCCTTGCCCCTGCTGTTGCATGAAGGAGAACCACTGCATTCACCTAGAGAACTCTTCTGGCTTCTTCAAAACTCAGCTTAAGTGTCACCTCCTCAGTTTTTGCTGGGTGTTTTTACTCTAAGAAATAAACACTTTTTAAAAAAAATTTAGATTCAGATTTCATTAATTTCAAAATTGATTCATGCTCACTATAGAAAAAGTAGAAAGAGAAAAAGAGAAATAACTCATAATTCTGCCATTTATTTAATCTCTGTTAATACACTATAATCTACATATAAAAACACAATTTTGCAAAAGTGTTAAATCCCATTGTATTATATATGCTGCTTAAATCTACTGTTGTCCCTCAGCAAAATATCGTCTTACAATGACAATAATAGAACTCTCAATCATTTTTTGTAATGCTTACATATATTTCCTTATATTGATACAACAAAATTCACTCAATCTCCTATTTTCAGGTAGCTTCAATTTTTTCTGTAAAAGACATATCCTAGGAAAACACACCTGTTGGTTCAATTATCAATTTTTTTGAGGGTATATTATTCCAAATGAGATTGCTGGGTCATGGACACTTTAAAACATTTCATATATTATGCAAAATGTTTCTTAATTCTTCTATAAACAATATGAATCTCTGTGTTAAACATAGCCTAAACTAAATAAGACATATCCACAACACTTTTTGTTCTACTTCAAAGGTACAGATTCTCTAAAATGTCTTATGGTGAAGCAACTGTCTTAGGCAATACACCTATTTATGTTAGCTCTCGTTGGGATTAGGAGTAAGGGCTTTTGGACTAGTCAAGATACTCATGGAATTAGGATCTGCAGGGAAGTCTCATAGGAGGTTCTGAGAAGCTTTATAAATAGAAACGTGCAATTACCAGTAGCTGTTAATTAATGATGAGGTCAGCTCTTCCTAGATTTCCTCTTACTCTCTTTTCTTTACAATTTTCTGGTTCTCCTGATATGGCAAAGGAAGATGAACTGTGTACGTGGCTTTTTTTGGTATTATTTTAGTTATAGGGATGATAGAGTGTATGCTTGGAAAGAAAGCTCTCATGAGGGCAGCAGATAGAAAACAAGTAAGAATCATTGGGCTAGTGCAAAAGTACCTGTCACTCCTCTGGAGGCTTAATAGTCTTTTAAGTGGCCTCTGGTGCACTTAAAACAGTCAGATCATAAGAAGTGAAATAATGAATCAGAGCATCGTTAATAAGAGAAGGCAGATTTCAGGTAGTAAAAAGAAAAGGGGAAAAAACTAAAATAAGAGAATAGAGTAAATTAAAATGTGTAAATTACATAAGAAATCTTGAAATAGATGACATGCAGAGGCAGTTAAAATAAAAGATATTGTCAACCTAAAAAAGGCAGACAAAACCCTTAATATCTCTCTCCAGGAAGCCCAATTCTCTGGGGAAATGGAAATGGGATTTGAAGGTGTTTTTCAGCACATTGTACACAGATACACAGTGAGAATTTCGCTAAGAGATTAGTGAAGTTTTACCACCTCCTTTTTCAGAAAGGCTGAAATGAGTGTAAGGGTGTGAATGGAGACTAACAGACAGGAAACAGAAAATTCCCAAGGGGAAGGCTGCCTGACATGAGGGAAGCCAAGTCCAGTAGGAAAAGGGCTGGAGTTGCATCTAGGAACAGGTGATACCAATAACATACTGCAAGATTTAGTTAGGCAGTTTTAAATTTAAAATGTGATGTTTTCATGTTTTTAAAGTAATGTTTAGTTTGTTAATGTTTTCCTTTTCTCCTGTTAAAGCAAATATGTACTCTATTTTCTCTAACCCCTATTGAAGCTGACTGTTCTCATTTGAGGGAGCTATTAAAGTGCTGACAGAATCTGTCTCTAGAGAGGGCCACTACCTGCCTGAAACCAAGTTGAAGATAATAAAGGAAAAGAGATTAACTCTTGAATTTCCAGAAGAAGGTGTGACATATGAAACTATACACACTATTCCTCCCTCTTCCACATTTCTCTACCTAAAACAAGAATGTCAATATAGAGTGTGCTACAGGGACCTAAAAATTATCTTCTCAAGTCATGAATCTTCATGTTAGGTTTAGGATTAAGGGTTTGATTTTTAAAAGCAAATAGGTCTTGAAGTTGCCAGGTGAACCCATCAATCACTTGTAAATGAATCTAGCAAACTCAAATGTCGTGAATGCATTTCAATTCCTTTACCGACTGATGTGCCTCTACTAGAACAATAAGTAAGAGGAATCAGTAAAATGAAGGAGTGTATCGTTTAGGTGCATTGCTTGAAACAGGGAAAACAATCTTCCTCATGAGGAGACATGGAGAATTCTGAGTTTTTTTATAATCTTTCAAAGTTAATCTAGTTGATATTTCCACTCTACAGATGAATAAAAGAAATCCCAGTAAATAGGCATGCAAAAACTATCATTCCTCCCTCTCTGAATTCTTCATTAATAGGAGGAACTACAGAAACAGAGGGTGGGGGATTGCAGGAACAAAAACACATACAGTATGTGTGACTTCTGTTCTGGAGAATTTTTTTAGTACTAAACATTCAAAACATTGCTTCCCTTGCTTTGTCTTTGGGGAATGCTGCAGAATGGTTTAATCATCTGGCTTTGGTTCTGACTGCCTAGGGCATCTGTAGCCTTTCTTATCATTATGTCTCACCGAGTGTCACCTTTCCCAGACAACTATAGGATCAGGATAAGAAAAACTGTTTCTTTATGCTGTAGATCTAACAAAACCACAGGCTGCTCACAGTCCACCAAATGAATGGCTAGCATTTAAAATCGACCTGAATTAAATGAAGCAGTTGATTATAAATGCTAGACACTCAATTTAGAAACTGTGGCTTAAAGAAAGAAACAACATGTGACTATAGATTGTTCATTCTGCATGAGAGGAAAAATGTGATGTTATGACCAGAATAAAGTATTTTCTGAGGGGTGAATGAATTCCAATGATTGTGGTGACCCAAAACAGCTTTGTAAATGTGACACTATAAAATGGGTTTTTAAATGGTGTTTGCATCAATATTTATGTCCCTGGAAAGAAACACAACACAGGAACAGGCTAAGTATAAATTTTTCTTTCATATATGATGCCAATTACTAAAATCCTGCTGGTAAGATGGAGAAAATCAAACAAAAGTTTTGTTTTTTTTTCCCCCAGGTACAAAAATTTTGAATGTATGAATAATTAGACAATTCCTATGAATAATTAGACAATTCTTATATCTAGGAAATGTTTGAGAGTATGTTTTTGGTGACTGATGTCTGTTTGTAGCTACCTCAAAAGTGTTGTATATAAAGTTTATGATATTGCATTTTTAGCTTAGGAAACACTGTAGGATTAGGATGGTGTGATTCGTTATTTTTCTGATAATGAAGGTTAGGAGCCTGAGCTCTCAAATAGCAGAAGGATATTTCACAGAATGGCCAGTGAGTGCTGCTGAGATGACAGATTAGATTGATGTTTTGCTGTAGAGGTAAGAACTTAGCTGAGATGGCTGTTCAGCACTCTCAGAGGAAAAATTCATTATATTTCCACATTGACAGAAGTGGGGAGCTTGTACATGCTTTCCTTTGCAATAAGGTTGGATATAGAAGCTTAATAAAAAGTTAAATGGCTCCATCCTGGTTTGTTATACTCAATACTTTCACACATTACAGTAATATACCATCTACAAATTATATACATTTACATAGTTTATTAAGACATCTCCTTGAATCAAAATGATTAGTGTTTTGTTTTAAATGTTTTGGACTCTTTCCTATCTCTAGAATGAGGATGTAAACACTCTGTTGATTTTACTTTTAGTGGTCTTTCAAGAATTTACATGACTTTAATTTAATGTGATTAAATTATAAATTTAATGTAATTTAACATAACTTTAATATAAAGCCATTGTCACATGATATGATGTAAAACTATCAAAAGTCAGGTAAATATGTTGGGAATCTACTGTGTGCTGTGCATAGCATCATGTGCTGAAATATAGTGGTGCCAGAAGAGAAATCTGTTCTCCCAGAGATTGCACTTTAGTGGGAGGCACCAGACGAAAATAAAAGTAAAAAATGAATGGACCAATAAATAAATGGGCAAGTGCAGTGTGGATCAGCTAAAATAGAAGCAGAA